>NC_000012.12:129508748-129810372 GCF_000001405.40 Homo sapiens
AAATCAATGAGTAATCACATATTAAAAAAATGAGTGGTGAATGCTGGGTCTAAGGGGGATACGCATTGATGAAAATTGCAGTGTGATTTCTCCTACGTAGGGAACTGGACTCCATTCCCACTGATGGTTGCTACAGCATGACAGACCCAGTGTTGCAGATCTTATCATTTTGCATGAGAAGCCAGAGATCTACATTTGGATATAAAATGTCCCAATTTGAAAACATAGTGTGGGTGAACTAAAATGTATCTGAAGACCTGATCTGGCCTGCAGTTCACCATATTGCAATTCCTGATTACACACATTATTTACTGAACCTACCACTTTGAGCAATTGAGCCAATTGAATGATTCAGAATGCCTCAGCTTGCTGTGCAGAAATGTAGAAAGCTATGCCAGCTGAAATTTTCTGAGGCCACTTTTAGAGAAACTTGTTCTCTCCTACTTTTCTCCAAAGTGCCATTCTGAAGTCTCAGAAGGTCAATGAGGGCTTAGTGAAATATTAATTCACTTTCAAGTTAATTTTATTAAATTTATTAAATTAAATTTATTGAATCACAATTTACAAATAATAAGTGCACACCTTAGTTTTTAATTTTTGTGGGTACATACTAGGTATATATGTTTATGGGGTACATGAGATATTTTGACACAGACATGCAATATGTAATAACCACATCACAGAGAATAGGGTGTCCATCCCCTCAAGCTTTTATTCTTCATGTTACAATCCAATTATATTCTTTTAGTTATTTTAAAATGTACAGATAAGTTATTACTGACTATAATCACCCTGTTGTGCTATCAAATATTAGGTCTTATTCATTCTTTCTATTTTTTGTATCCAGTAACCATCCTTACCTCCCCTTCTGCCCCCAACTACCTTTCCCAGCCTCTGGTAACCATCCTTATACTATTTCCATGAGCTCAATTGTTTTGATTTTCTGATACCAAAATAAGATGGAACATGCAATGTTTGTCTTTCTGTGCCTAACTTACTCACTTATAACACAATAATCTCTAGTTCCATCCATGTTGTTGCAAATGATAAGAGCTCATTCTTTTATGGCTGAGTAGTACTCCGTTGTATATATGTACCTCATTTCCTTTATCCATTCATCGCTGATGGACACTTAGGTTGCTTCCAAATCCTGGCTATCGTGAACAGCACTCCAAGAAACAGAGGACTGCAGATATCTCTTTGATATACTGATTCCCTTTCTTTTGGGTATATACCGAGCAATAGGATTGCTGGGTCTTATGGTAGCTCTAGTTTTAGTTTTCTAATGAACCTCCAAACTATTCTGCATAGTGGCTGTATTGATTTACATTCCCATCAACAGTGTACAAGGGCTCACTTTTCTGCATGTCCTCACTAGCATTTATTATTGCCTCTCTTTGGGATAAAAGTCATTTTAACTGTAGTGAGATGATATCTCACTATAGCTTTGATTTGCATTTCTCTGATGATCAATGATGTTGAGCACGTTTTCATATGCCATTTGTATGACTTCTCTTGAGAAATGTCTATTCAGGTCTTTTGCCTATTTTTTAATCAGATTATTAGATTTTTTCCCTATAGAGTTGTTAGAGCTCCTTATATATTCTGGTTATTAATGCTTTGTCAGATGGGTGGTTTGTAAATATTTTCTCCCATTCTGTGCATTGTCTCTTCACTTTGTTGATTGTATCCTTTGCTGTGCAGAAGACTTTTAACTTGATGTGATCCTATCTGTCCGTGTTTGCTTTGGCGTGTGTGCTTGTGGGTTAGTACCTAAGAAATCTTTGCCCAGATCAATGTCCTAGAGAGTTTCCCTGACGTCTTCTTGCAGTAGTTTCACTGTTTGAGGTCTCAGATTTAAGTCTTTAATCTATTTTGATTTGATTTTTCCATATGGCAAGAGATAGGGGTCTAGTTTCATTCTTCTGCACATGGATAATCAGTTTTCCAAATCCATGTACAATTGTTTAAGAAATAGTCTTCTCCCTGTAGTTGTATTCCAGCGTCTAATAATTATTTTTTGCCATTTCTTTCAGCACAATCTACTGAAGAGACTGTCCTTTCCCTAATGTATGTTCTTGACACCATTGTCAAAAACGAGTTCACTGTTGGTATATGGATTTACTTTCAGGTTCTCTATTCTGTTCCATTGGTCTGTGTGTCTGTTTTAATGCCAGTACCATGCGGTTTAGGTTACTATAGCTCAGTAGTATAATTTGAAGTTAAGTAATGTGATTCCTCCAGTTTTGTTCTTTTTGCTTAGGATAGCTTTGGGTATTCTAGGTCTTTTGTAGTTTCACATAAATAGCGCACCCATTTTAAGCATATAGTTGGCCGAACTTTGATAAATGTATATAGTCATGTAAATACATCATAATAGTGATATAAAATATACCCACCAACCCACCAAGTTCTTTTGTGCACCTGTGAATTCAATTCCCTTCTCTTCTCTGGTCTCAGTAATTCCTAACCTGCCTTCTGTCACTATTGATTGGACTTCCCTTCTATAGAATTTCACATAAATGGAACAGTACAGTACATTATCATTTGTGTCTGGCTTCTTTCAGTCAGCCCCAATTTTTTTTGCAATGCATCTGTGTTATGTGCACCAGTGTGTCATGCCTTTTTATCTTTGAATCTTATTCCATTTATGGATATATAGAAATTTGTTCATCAATTCACCTGCTGTGGACACTTGGGTTATTGTGAAACAACTACTATGAATGTGCAAGTATAAGGCTTTGTCAGTCTTTTAAAATTTAGCCATTGTAGTGGATGTGTGATGGTAACTCATTGTAGTGGACGTGATAGTTTAAATTTGTATTTCTTTCACAGCCAAAGGTGCTGGGAGTCTTTTCATGTGCCTATTTGCCATCTGTATATCTACTTTTGTGAAATCTCTGTTCAAATATGTTGCCCATTTTTTAACTGGGTCATTTGTCTTCTATTCTGGGTATGAGTCCTTTGTCAGCATTATGATTTGCAAATATTTCCTCCTGGGCTGCAAAATCAGTTTTAATACTGAAAACAAAAATATTCTGTGGTTTATATATTGTTTTCACTTTTATCACCTCATTTTATCCTTAGAAAAATCTTGCCAAGAAGGGAGAAGACATTTTATACCTTAATGTTTCAGATGAGGAAAATAAGACTCAGAAGAAAGTTGCCCATTTAATGTCACACAGCTGTTAAATAATAAATATGGGATGACTAGCTACATTTACAGTGTGTTTAACTACCCAGAATTCACCCACTTGCATGTAAGCTCTATGAAATGTAGGCATTTTTGTTCTTCTGTTTTTTGTTTTACCGTACAGCATCTGCAGTGCTTAGAACTGTGCCTGACAAATGGTAGCTACTCAAATAATTCCTGATTAAACTCCTCTTTTCCTAATAAGACCATGATCCAACTGGTAGAAAGCTGCCTCTTACCCCACTACTTTCTGAGTTTCAGTGGCTCTCACCCTATTCCTGTGTCTCCGGCATGCACCTGAATTGCAGCAACAGGATTGGCCCAGGGAGAGGCACAGGACAAAGGCTGGTGTCATCAGAGTAAATCTCAAGATTTCTGGAGGAACTACTGGAGAGAGACTTTGTAGTGTCTTTTTTACTGAACTCAAAAATGGGACAGTTTGATGTCAGAACTGTTGTATTCCATTTATCGTCAAAAGAGACGAGCCCTTCTTAGAATTATAGCCAGCACAGAGACGAACAAGATGACAGAGAGACATTGAACATTGGTGACATCTTCTAAGTCATAAACCCAGCAATATTGTAGTGTAACAAAACAGCATAAATATTTATTAGCTATACAGTTTCTGAGGGTCAAGAATTTGGGAGCAGCTTAGCTGGATTGTTTTAGCTCATGAGTTATCATCTGATGTTGGCCAGGACCGTGATCAACTAGGGGCTAGGTGCTCTGTTTCCAACGAGGCTCACTTATGTTTCTGGTCAGCTTGTGCTAACTATAGCAGGAGTCCTCAGTCCATCCCCATATGGGCTTCTCTACTGGCTACACGCATGTCCACATGTCATGGCAGCTGCCTGGCTTGTCCCAGAGTGAATGTCTCAAGAAAGAGCAAAGCAGAAGTAGAAATGTAGTTTAGGATCCAGCTTCAGAAGTCACATGCCATCATTCTGCTAGGAGTTCATTAGAAGCAAGTTACTACATCTAACCCGCATTCAAAAGGAGGGTTATTGGACTCCACCTTCTGAAGGCAGGAGTGTCGAAGAATTTCTAGACGTATTTTGAAACCACCACACCAGCCATATTTGAAGGTCAGTGTCTTAGTCCATTTTGTGTTGCTAGAAAAGAATATCTGAGGCTGGGTAACTTATAGAGAAAAGAAGTTTATTTATCACACAGTTCTGCAGGTTGAGAAGCTCAAGGGCATGGCCCTGGCTTCTGGTGAGGGTTTTGATGTTGCAACACAACACAATGGAGAAGGTCAAAAAGGGAGCATACATGTGTGAAGAGGAGAAAACTTGACAGGCTTTGTAACAACCCACTCTTAAGGGAACCTAACCACTCCCTCAAGAACCAATCCAGCCTTTTGAGGGTGAGAGCTTACTACCATGAGCACAGCACTCAGCCATTGATGAGGGATCTGCCCCCATAACCCAAACATCACCCGCTAGACTCCATCTCCCAACACTGCCATAATGGGGACCAATTTTTTTTTAATTGACCTGGAAAGATGTTCTTCACGTAGTGGGAAAAAAACAAAAACAGGTTTGTTTGTTTGTTTGTTTTTGAGACAGAGTCTCACTCTGTCGCCCGGGCTGGAGTGCAGTGGCGCGATCTCGGCTCACTGCAAGCTTCGCCTCCCGGGTTCACGCCATTCTCCTGCCTCAGCCTCCCGAGTAGCTGGGACTACAGGCACCCACCACCACGCCCGGATAATTTTTTTGTATTTTTAGTAGAGACGGGGTTTCACCGTGTCAGCCAGGATGGTCTCGATCTCCTGACCTCATGATCCGCCCGTCTCAGCCTCTCAAAGTGCTGGGATTACAGGCGTGAGCCACCGCGCCCGGCCAATGGGGACCAATTTTTATTTTTATTTATTTATTTATTTATTTATTTATTTATTTATTTATTTATTTTTTTGAGACGGAGTCTCGCTCTGTCGCCCAGGCTGGAGTGCAGTGGCACGATCTCGGCTGACTGCAAGCTCCGCCTCCCGGGTTTGTGCCATTCTCCTGCCTCAGCCTCCCGAGTAGCTGGGACTACAGGCGCCCGCCACCACGCCTGGCTAATTTTTTTTGTATTTTCAGTGGAGACGGGGTTTCACTGTGTCAGCCAGGATGGTCTCGATCCCCTGACCTTGTGATCCGCCCGCCTCGGCCTCCCAAAGTGCTGGGATTACAGGCGTGAGCCACCGAGCCCGGCCAATGGGGACCAAATTTTAATATGAATTTTGATGGGTGCAAACAAACCATATCCAACCGCAGTAGGCTACTTCAAGACTTTTTGTTTCCTGCACCCATAATTCTATCGCTGCCACCACCACCACCAGCATCTCCATTACATCTTTTTCTTCATTTCTTCTTTTTTCTCCCTTGAATAAACTAGTTGGAGCTGGATTTTCTGTCACTTTCAATAGACAGAGAGACTCTTAACTGATATAGAAATCAAAAATATATCTTCTCACTCTAACTGTAGTGTTCCTACTGATAAACCACAGCTGACAAATTATGGTCTGAGTTTTGACATTGAAGGGCTAGATTTTTATGTTGCGTGTAGAGCACAGGGGATTCTTAGAACATCAATAGTATGTGCACCCATCTCTGATCATGCTAACCTCAGTGAATTGAAATGATTTATCTGTGCATGTGAGCTGAATGAACATGCAGGACTGTTCATTCATCCCGAACATTCATCTTTGCATCCTTAGGGCCTAACAAAGTGTGTGGTGTAAATTAGATGCCTAATATACATTTGCTGAACAGGAGAGAACGGCTGCAATTTCACTGTGTGAAATGATCATTGATGTTTAAGATGGTTAGAATTTTGCTTTTATGATCCATTCTCTTGATAGCTATGATTTGTCTGAAGCTGAAGCCCTCAGGAAGGAATGCAACACCCTCCAACCCCCTGAAATTGCAGCACTGTTCCTATGGGAAAATAGAGTCCAGCGTAAGACAATATACTCCATGATTAGTGATGTTCCAGAATGCCTGGTGATGGAAAACAAGGACTGCCTATAATAGAATTGCTCTTTAGTCATTCAGAGAGACTCATTTAATCAAAGCCTGCTAGCATAAACTGCTGCTTTACAGCATGAGGCCCTTCTGGAAGAACATTAACTCTTGCATCTCCCCAGAGCCCCAGTTCAGCATATTTCCAATCAATATTTGCTCCGTAAGCACTGTGTGTACAGGACTAGCCATTTTATTTTACTTATTTCTTAATCTAGATGCCCACTGACTTTCCCAGAAGAAACCAGGCAACCACAGACTTAACGTTCCCCAGAAATCGAAACGCTGTGTCTTGTTGCTGTCGGTACACTGGTTTTCAGCTCTGCACGGTTTTTTGAACTAATTTCAGAAAAGACGTTTTGTACACATACCTTTCCCCACATATTAGTTACAAATAAAATGAATATGAATAGATAAATGAATGAACAAATGAATGAACAAATTGGTAGGGCACTACCAATGTGATTGAAAGTTGACATTTCAAACCCTTCTGGCCTTATAAAATCTTAGAGTGACTTCTATTACTGAATGTGGTCATGATCCTAGGGCCCAGAACATAATCCCCCAAAATATGGAACTTTGGCGATTGGGAATACTGCAGAAGCAGAAGCAGCAGCAAGAATGCCACTATGACCTCCTCCTCCCATTCTCCCCTGAGCCACGGTCATAAAGGAATTCTCTGACCTACCTCTCCAGAGAGAAGGTTGTAATACCCTCATTCCAGAGGGGTCCTGCCCTATATCTGAAGGCCAGGGGGAATCTAAACAAGCAGTCTTGCTATATCCCCAACCCCATTCCAGTCTATTACCAACGGACCATATCCCCTTCTGTCCAATCACCTTTCTATGTAACTGTCCATTCCTCATTGAACCCATGCATAAAGCCACAGTTTTCCCTGGGTCTTTGGATTTTTATTTCTGAAGGCTCCCGTGACATGTAAAACCTTGGTTAAATAAATTCGTTATGCTTTTCTCTTGTTAATCTGTCTTTTTTCATAGGGGTGTCAGCCATGAACCATGCAGAAAGTGAGGAAAAGATATTCCTTTCTCTCCCCTACAATGACATTGACAATCAGACAAGAACCACGCAAGGTGCTTTTCATGCATTCACTTCCTCCATCCTCAGGACTGCTGGATGTGTCATAATTACATCCATTCCATGTGTGTGGACATCAAGAGGCTACACATCCTAGACAATTGCACAGCTGATTGGTAGCAGGGCATGGACTTGGACTCAGACCCTGTGAACCCACATTAACATTCACTTAATCATTTCACTTTCCTCACTCCAGGGGATCTGACCCAACTCCAAAAGTCTATAAGTGCAACGTCTGACTGAGGGATCCAGCTCTGAACCTGCCTCCCCAGTGTTTGAAACCTAGTTCCACCATGTATTAGTCTGTTTTCATGCTGCTGATAAAGACATACCCAAGACTTGGTAATTTACAAAGAAAAAGAGGTTTAATGGACTCACAGTTCCACGTGGCTGGGGAGGCCTCACAATCATGGCAGAAGGTGAAAGGCACATCTTACATGGTGGCAGACAGGAGAGAAAATGAGAGCTAAGTGAAAGGGGCTTCCCCTTATAATACCATCAGATCTCGTGAGACTTATTCACTACCATGAGAACAGTATGGAGGAAACTGCCCCCATGATTCCATTATCTCCCACTGGGTCCTTCCCACAACATGTGGGAATTATGGGAGCTACAATTCAAGGTGAGATTTGAATTGCCAAACCATAACACATCATCACTGCAGAACTGAACTAAGGGGATGTACTAACTTCTGATGGCTACTGTAACAAATGACCACAAATACAGAGGCTTAACATAATGTGGATTGACTCCTTATAGTTCTGGAGATCAGAAGCCTGAAATCAAGGTGTTGGCCAGGCTGGTTCTTTCTGGAGGCTTCAGGGGAGAATCCATTGCCTTGCTTTTTTCAGTTTTAGAGGCTTCCACATTCCTTGGCTCCTGGCCCCTTCCTCAAATCCATCAAACCTCCAGTTCCATTACCACATCTCCTACTTCTGACACCAAATCTCCCTCTGCCTCTCTCTCCTCTGTAATTACATGGGACCCATCAGATTAGTCTCATCTGGAGGTTCTCAACTTAATCACATCTTCAAAGACTCTGTTGCCATGTAACCTATATATTGACAAGCTATAGATCCCGGACACAGGCATATTTGGGGTGAGGGTGAGGGTGGGAGTGGGAGTGGGAGGTATTATTCAGCCCACCACAGAAAGTAATGTAAGTTACCTAAATTTTGCTGGGACTCAGCTTCAAGATCCATCAAATGGTGATGATATTTTTTTTACTTACCCTTAGCATTAGGAGAATCAAGTTGGTTAAATTGAAACAAGCTCTAGGTAAATCCCTTTGAAGAAGCTGGTACATATTTATCTATTAACAAATGTGATGCATTAGTACTCAGATTACCAGTTCAAAGGGTCTAAAGGTAGATATAATACTTCAACGAAAAGGGGTGAGTCAGAGGGTCTGAGGCGTGTCTACAGATAAAGGGGGTGAGGAAGACAGAGAAGCCAGGGCCATTCAGTGGGGAAGACATTAGCTGCCTGCTGTTCCTACAGTTCTCTGGGATGGCAACTGCTGACCCCTGAGTGGGGTGGACCCATGGGAGCATATTTAAGGGCGTCAAGCTGCATCATTGCCTGATGTTAAAATAGCACTGGACAATAAAAACTACATGAAATTTTCCTTCCCCATGCAAAATTCAATCCACATCTTCTCGTAAATCCTGCCTGAGGTTTCTGATACAGTTTCTTAGGCTCATAAGCCCATCTCAAGGTCATTCCAAAATTAGTTTGGAGGTAGTTTTCTATGTGGCAGGCATGGTTGAATAAGGAACAAGGAGAAATTATGCTTGGCTTCTTTCTGATGATATTTATGCTGTAAAAGAAAATTCGACTTCTAATACCATCCACTGCCTTGAAACTTATCGGTGTCCTTAGTTTCTTTGTATTATTTTAATATACAGCCTAAGATTATTGTACAATAGAATGGATTCATTCTAATTTACCTGGCAAAAAGATAGTCACTTAAATGCCAACACAAAAATGTATTGATGAATATAACTACAAGATCATCACAAGGCAATAACTTTCAAAGAAAGTTTTTTCCCCCCTAAGGAGGATAAACAATTTCATTTTCTAATACCTTGACAGTTCCCTTCATGTTAACCTCAATTTCATAGTTGAAGGAAATGCATAGTTTTTCTGTTGTGAGTTTATAAGAACAATAGAAGAATCAAAACCCCTGCATATATTTTTCTAATTAATAAAACTAAGTCATGCTTATTGCAGTAGATTTGGCAAGTATCAACAAATGAAAGAATGAGACTCTAAGATCATGAGAACACACATTTTGTTTCGTTTGCCTTTGGTGTCCTCCTATACAGTACAGTGCCTAGCACATGGTAGGTTCTCAAAATTTTATGGTTTGAATTCAGGAGGAAATAAATATCAGTCACAATTTCACTGTTATTAAAATTGTGTTCTATTTCACTTTTAGCCTCTTGACTATATTGTGTGTGTGTGTGTATATATATGTGTGTATATACATATACACATGTGCGTGTGTGTGTGTGTATATATATACACACACACACACATATATATAAAAATATGCACATATAACATTTTGGTTATTAACAAAATCAGGTTGCTACTCTATATGTTTTATTTCATGCCTTTTTTAACATACCAGTAAATTGAGAGCATTTCCTCATGCCAATAAATCTTTTAAAACACCATTTTGTCAGCTCTGTTACATTTTGCTTGTGAAACTGCTATAGTTATTTAATCATGCCTGTATTCCTAGCACTTAAGGATTCTAATTTTTTCTATTATCAATAACAATGTGAACACCGTGCTTAGGTATAATACTCCTGATTATTTACTTAAGATAAATCCTAAAATGTAGAAACAAAAGGTTATTAAAAATTTTAATGAAGGTTGGCACACACTGACATATCTCTTTTCTACATAGGAAGTTCTTTGAAGCTTTCCATTGGTTACAATTCCATTCATGTGAAGTTTGAATAGAATACACTTTCCCAGTTACAGCCCAAGGAGGTTTTGGCTTTTACATGTTAAAGATACTTTTTCCCTTTAATTATGTCTTACCTGTTTTAAGAAATCCGAGCTCCTTTTAAGGAAGGGGTTATTAGTCTGGTGTGGATGGAGTTAGAATTCAGGGCTCTATGAACTTGGCTGGGGAAAAACAGCCCTTTATTTTTCCTACCCTGGAACTGAAATTTAGCACGTCCTTCAATGTTGAACCTCGGGGACTACCAGAGTAGCTGTGACTTTTCGCCAACAGAAGCCACAGTGATCTTCATAGTCTATTGGATTTGTAAAAGATATTTCAAAATGTACCCTGCCCTGAACACTTACTTGAAATCACAGTAGTTATTACACATGCTGCTAGGCTTTGTTTTCAGAGTTTTATTAAGGAAGCTCATAAAATACCTTATCACAATTTAGAAAATGTTTTGAAAGCCGCATTTCAATATAGCTGCATTCCTCAGGATTCCTAAGAATTTTATTTTAGGAAATTAAAAACATTATTCTGAGGAAAGATTCATAAATGTCACAGAATTGTCAAAGCAATCTATGACACCAAAAACAGATAAGAATGCTTTTTTTTTTTTCTTTGAGATGGAGTCTTACTCTGTGGCCCAGGCTGGAGTCCAGTGGTGCAATCTCGGCTCACTGCAACCTCCGCCTCCTGGGTTCAAGCAATTCTCCTGCCTCAGCCTCCTGAGTAGCTGGGATTACAGGTGCCCACCACCATGCCCAGCTACTTTTTGTATTTTTAGTACAGACAGGGTTTTACCATGTTGGCCAGGCTGGTCCCCAACTCCTGACCTCAGGTGATCCGCCCGCCTCCGCCTCCCAAAGTTATGGGATTACAGGTGTGAGCCACCGCACCTGGCCAAGAATGCTTGTTTTAAAGGTATCAAGGAAACAACCAGGAGAAAACATAAATTTCCCATATAAAATACATTTTGCAACTTATAAAGGGCTCTAGGAATATGATGTATGTGCACATATATGTATAGATAGATAAGTATCTTGTACAGTACTGTTTTTGTTAGTGTGGGGCATCTGTCACCATAGGTGTGTAAGACAGTGTTCAGTGAGGCCGAACTTGATTTTTGGTGGGTGTTTAAGCAGAACAGACATTAAATAATCTTAGGGCCTCCCAACTCCCCTACTCTCTTTCCAACTGTGCGTTTAGCTGGAGAGAACAATAGTACACAGTGAAATGCTTAATACCATGACATTTTGCTTTCAATCCATTGATTCTCTTAAGGAGAAAGGCTTACTCTGGGGTGCATACGTCTCTAATCCTTCTGTAAGACCTCCCAACTATCTGTTCTAACACAGAAGAAAAAGCCCCAGAACTGGCTGCAAACAATAGTCTCCACATGGAATTCATTAGTAGTGACTCCTTTCATTATTTGATTTTCACAATTAACTTCTAAATCCAAATTGTCCTAGTTTTTCCATTTTTATAACTTCCCTTTGGAATACATTTACTTGAATTCAAAAGTAAAAGGAGTTAAAGGAGCATGTAAGTGACCCTGAAAGTTTGATGTAGACACGATAAATATTGTGAAAAGATTGTTATTGTCAGAGTTTCAGGAAACCTGGACCAAGCTTCACCATTTTTATACCTTAAGCCCTCCAACTTTTTAATGATTTCAGGTAAAAGAATGATCAAGGCACGCCACGATTAAGCTGTACATGTTGAGATCATCTCTGTGTCTTGATATTAAAAACCAAATCCAATCATCCTCTCCCATCAGTGCTTTCAGACACTCACGTGGTCTCATTTCTTTTCAAGACCTTCACACAGGTTTTCTGCCTGTAGATCTGCTATAATAAGGACCTATAGACCAAACAAAATGTTGCTCTCATCCATGTTACACTTGCCTCCAGGAGTGAGTAATCAAAACCACATTCAGCAAGTTTCCCAGACTTTGAGAGTTGTTCAAAAACAATGCTGAGTAATTGTAGACAAAAAACACCCAGTGGCTGAGATTGATATTGACTTAACTGAGGAGATACTTTCTTATATTTACACAGTCCCAGTTGATGTCTCTTGTAGACTTTGAATTTGATCCTGATACAATTACATCACATGTTGGTATTCTGTCCACAAAACAGAAACCCATTTTACTCTGGAGGATTTTCGAATTCAGGTTATAGGAAAGGGGTCACTGGTCTTGTGATACGAGTTGAATTTACACCCAGCATCTCTTTTCTGTGGTAGAAAAACTGGATCTACCTTTAAGACAAAAGATTAAGTGTCTAGAACTACCTGCATTTATTAATTGGAATCATTTGTTTAAAGAAGTAAACGTCTTCAAAATAGCAAGGTGAAAAAGCTTTTAACGCTACCCCTGATTAGAATGGCTGGTGAACGGATCATTTATTTCTTCTACTGCTGATCACAGAGCTTTTAAATGGAAGTTAAGAGTTCCTTTTAGAAAAAGCTCTAAAAGGAAAAGAGCAAGTTTATATAGAAAATAAAAAGAAAATCAAAGAGCAGTTGAGAAAGAATTAAGGTAACCAGGTACTTCGTAACTTAGTGTGTCCCACTGAGAAGCTGAAAATCTATCAATTTAAAATGCAGTCTAGAAACTGAATATCAGCGGAATCATCAACGTGTCCCCTTGTGTCTGGCTTCCTTCAGCGTCACACTTCAGGCCTTATCTATGTTTTCTCAACGCTTCTGTCGCTTGTTCTTTTTCATTGCTGAGTAGTATTCCGTTGCTTAAATGTACCACGGTTATTTATCCCTCACCAGCTGGCAGACATTTGGGTGATTCACAGTTTGGGCTATTATGGAAACAGCAAAATTATAGACAGAAGAGACCATGGCTTGCCTAGAATTGGGATAGAAATAAAAACTTCATGCAAATGGGTAAAAGCTGATTTTTTTTTTTTCCGATGATGGAAAACTGGGTTGCAGTGACGGCTGAACAACCAAAGACATTCTTCTAAAACTCATTTAACTGTGTGCCTAAAATAGGTCAATTTGACAGTATGTAATTTATAACGCAAGAGCTTAACGAAGGTTCTAAGTAGGAATCTAAAGTCATATGCCCGTATTGCCAGTTTCTCTAACTGATGTCAGTTAGTCACCAGGGTTAAAGGACTAAGATGTCACCAAAGAAAGTTCTTACACTGATTGACACACATCATGGCAGGTGAAAGCTGTCAGAAGAAAGTTGCTTTTAGAAATGATAGAAACCAAACTGTATATATTAATACTTAAAAAATAAGACATCCTGTCCATAAGAAACAACACTTAGAATGAAATTTTTAGGACATAAGAAAGATGATACTTTGCACCAGTTGGACTGTAAATAAAGCTTCTTCAGATGGATCCTATAATTTTTCTTTCATTTCTTTTTTTAATGTTCCATGAAATACTATTATCTTTCTAAGCTGTTCCCCAGGACTTCAAGCCACAGATCATCCACACATAGCATTTGTTCCATCAAGCTAAACACACCAGGGGAAACTGGAGGTTTCGGCAAGTTTGATAAAATACTCACGGTAAAGGGTTGTCATGGAGCGTGAAGGGACAGACCCGAGACCGTGCGGCCCACACAGTTAAGTCATCAAAGGAAATGGCTGTCGCAAAGAACACTCCCTCATCATCAAAAACATCGAAGACTATTTCGGAGAGATGCAGAAATCTATTCGCTTGTTGACAATGAACACCCATCAGAAACAGTGACTGCAAATGTTCATGATCCTTAACAAATAAAAAAATACTTTAGATTTTACGGTGTGTGTATATATATTACTAATACATATGTAAATATAGATATTGGTATGGATAAGATATAGATATAAATATGGATCTGTAGATATAGACAAAGCTATACAGATTAGATATATATGTAGACACAGATTAGATATATATGTAGACATAGATTAGATATATATGTAGACATAGATTATATATATATATACATAGATTAGATATAGAAAAATAGATGTATGTAGACATAGATATAGATACAGACATAGAAATTTTTTTCTCTGTAGGACTGCTACTGACGGTTTCCATGCTCAGAGAGGACACTAAGGGCTGCACATGTGTGCATACACACGCACGTGCACACACACACACACAGACACACACACTTATTGAAGCTGCAAGTTCAGACATGTACATGAAGACAGATAGTAGCACATAGTTTTCTACATGGAATGTCATGTGTCACTTTAGATATTTCTGCCACTGCAGGTGTTTTTGGTAGTTCCATTGAAATGGGAGCTTTCTCTTTCCTCGAAGCAACATCTAGTGGCCTTCGTAGGACTCTGAAATCACAAACCGACAGCAACCAAACATGAGCCATGATCTACAACCCCGGAGTGTATTGATGAAGCATTTTGATGAACACCAGCAAATGGCATAATGTAATTATTGTTGCTATTAGGTTATTATTTATGCCACACGCATGACTCTTGTAGCTGTAGCAAGAGAAGCAGTCGGTATTTTAGTATTACAGCACTCTGGAGATCCTATCAAAAAGCCACGGCAGCTCCGGCTAGCAAAGACGCGTGGCGGTAACTCAGTGCCGTTACCCACGAAAAGTGGATGTTCAATAATTTAATTCTAAATTTGGTGCTCTACTTGGAAACAGAAGATATTAAATACCAGATATATGGATATAATAAAAGCAAAGCAATACGAGGGTAAATTAAGGCAAATCTCACACTCCCTCATTGCTACTGTATAATGAGATTGAATGAGCGTCAGGAAATGGTGAGTGAGTCAGCCTGAAGTCTGATTTCACAGAGAATGGGGTTCATCATTCCCCTTGACTGCCAGGCCATATGCTTGAATTACTGCTGCCTCCTGGCTGAGTTTAAATGTTTCTCAAGGAGGCAATGTAGATAAGCTTACATTTACTGGGGCAAAACTCAGTGCTATCTTAGGAAGATTCTAAAGCTCTATTCCCCACAATGTCCAGAAAATATCTTTGCATACTTCACCTGAACTTGCATTTCTCAAACACTGGCTTTGAACAATGAGAACACATGGACACAGGAAGGGGAACATCACACACCGGGGCCTGTCGTGGGGTGGGGGGAGTGGGGAGGGATAGCATTAGGAGATATACCTAATGCTAAATGACGAGTTGATGGGTGCAGCACACCAGCATGGCCCATGTATACATATGTAACAAACCTGCACATTGTGCACATGTACCCTAAAACTTAAAGTATAATAATAAAAAATAAAAAAATAAAAAGGTGAAAAAAAAAGAAAGAAACAGCCATGTCCTTATGCCATCTATACCTGTATTAACTCAGTATTTTTCTCTAAAACAACACATTGCTGGGGGGTTCTCTTCATAATTACATGAGCGGTAACATATCGTACATGCTACTATTCAAGATTTTCTCCCCGTTCAACATTACAGTTTCAGGTTAATTTCTTGCTGATATACACAGATCAATGGCATCCCTCATAATTGCTGCATAAAATTTATTACATGAACACAACTTTTTAAAATTAATTCACATCTTGATGGGCATTTAGGCTGTTTTTAACTGTCTGCTATTACCAAAAAAACGGCTGCAATTACAGCCCTGTATCCATCTCTCCAGATTGATGGCTAAGCTTTTATCTAGAGCATATATTTCTAGAACTGTAATTTCAGGGTCACAGGACGCAGGTTTTAAATCTTATTAGCCAGATACTGACAAATATATCTCTAAAGTGGAAGAACCATTTTACAAATCCCCAGAAGGGTATAAGAGTTCTCTGTTCTTCCGGGAGGCGGAGGTTGCAGTGAGCGGAGACTGCGCCACTGTACTCCAGCCTAGCGACAGAGTGAGACTCCGTCTCAAAAGAAAAGAGTTCTCTGTTGTCCCTCATCCTCAGAAAAACATTTTATTATTTTCATATTTTTTTCTTTTTTCTTTTTTTTTTTTTTTTTGAGACGGAGTCTCGCTCTGTCGCCAGGCTGGAGTGCAGTGGCGCGATCTTGGCTCACTGCAAGCTCCGCCTCCCGGGTTCAAGCGACTCCCCTGCTTCAGCCTCCTGTGTAGCTGGGACTACAGGCGCCCGCCACCACACTCAGCTAATTTATTTGTATTTTAGTAGAGATGGGGCTTCACCATGTTGGCCAGGATGGTCTCGATCTCCTGACTTCGTGATCTGCCCGCCTTGGCTTCCGAAAGTGCTGGGATTACGGGTATGAGCCACGGTGCCCAGCCGGTTTTTTTTTTTTTTTTTTTTTTTTTTTTTGCTAATATAATTAATAGAAATGATATCTAGTAGTTCTGAAAACAACATCTTGGTCTGTTGTATCCCTAATGCAGAAGTTATTAAAACAAACTTGAATGGAAATGCTTCTGACAGATTCTAAATTTAAACATAATGGGGAAACTTTGTTATCATTGATACAGGCTCGGTATACCACTAATGTGATTCATCTTGTACTTTGGCAAATTTAAATTTAGACTCTGGAAATAAAAGCATCCTTCATGGTCTAGGAGGACTTGGGCATGTGTGCTGCATATACTACATGGGTGCTTTAAGAATCTAAAAATGATGAAGAGATGGGTTTCTTTTAATGGTTCTGTTGATTATTTCAAAGTGTGTGCGCATGTGTGACTGTATTTGATTCTCACAACAGTCCAGGGAAGGCTGGCATTGTTATGCCAATATTACAGAAGAGGAAGTTGCTTTTCCTCTCTGGTCATCTGCCAGACAGACATCACTGCGACGCACAGCATAAAAATGAGAACGAAACATCACATTTTCTGGATCTCACATTTATGTTCTTCCCACTCTCTTTGCGGAATCATCATTCGGATGGTAATACATACAACTGTGGTAATCCATAGTCAATAGGGAGGATATGGAAACTATTTAAGGCATCATAAATCACAGTTGCCCACAAAAGGAAAGTCACGCCATTTTGATGACTTCATACCACTGTCTCAGGTTTGTTTTTGGTTGGGTGATACTCAGATTCTGGGTCTCAGAAGAGCTGATTGTTTCATTTAGTGGATAACAGCCTGCTGGAAAATTAACAAGCATTTCTTTAAGTTTCTAACATACACACAACAACTGTTCTGGTAGCGTGCTAATGTGAGTTTCCCCACCCTATTATATTGTACTGCAAATTTCTAAGGGATCCTAATAAAGTGAAGGAGGTAGTGAGGTACTATGCTTTTTTCATCATCCTATGGAAATCCCACATGTGTATTCTTTATAAATTGACAAAATAGAGGTTGCTGGTTGCCCCACTCCCCCAGGCTGCTCTTTTTTTCTTATTTTTTTCCTCGAGACAAAGTCTTTGGCTCTGTCTCCCAGGCTGGAGTGCAATGGCATGATCTCGGCTCACCTCAACTTCTGCCTCCCAGGTTCAAGCGATTCTCCTGCCTCAGCCTCCTGAGTAGCTGGGATTACAGGCATGCACCACCATGCCCAGCTAATTTTTGTATTTTTAGTAGAGACGGGGTTTCACCATATTGGCCAGGATGGTCTCGAACTCCTGACCTCGTCATCCACCCACCTCAGCCTCCCAAAGTGCTGGGATTACAGGCATGAGCCACCACTCCCAGCCTCTTCTTTCTTTAGAACAGAACACTGATTTTGAACTGGGCACACTGCTGGTAATAAATCATGTTTCCTACTTTGTTTTGAAGTATGGTTTGGTCATGTGATTAAGTTCTTATCAGTGAGATGCAAGAGAGAGAAATAGGGTTGAAAAGAGCTTCCAGGAAGGTTGCCTAAAAAGAGTCAACACAGTTAAGAAGACCCTTTTCTGTCTTTTCTTTTGCCTGCAATGCTGATGCAATGACAGACAGTCCTGAAGCAGTCTTGATCTATGAGGATGTAAGCCCTCCATTCACATGGTGTTGAAGAAAGAAAGGTGCCTGGGACCCTAGTGATACTGGAGAACTGCCATTCCAGCTGTGGCCAGCCTTAAGCTTCTTTTATGTGAGAAAGAAAAAACTTCTGTCTTGTTTAAGATATTCCTATTTGTTTCAGAAAACAATCTATTTAAGGCTGGGTACGGTGGCTCATTCCCATAATCCCAGCACTTTGGGAGGCCAAGGCAGGTAGATTGCTTGGGCTCAGGAGTTTGAGACCAGCTTGGGCAACGGGGCAAAACCCCACCTCTACTATATATACAAAAATTAGCCAGGTGTGGTGGTGCACGCCTGTAATCCCAGCTACTTGGGTGGCTGAGGCAGAAGAATTGCTTGAACCCAGGAGGCAGAGGCTGCAGTGAGCCAAGATCGCACCACTGCACTCCGGCTTGGGCAACAGTGTGAGACCTTGTCTCAGGAAACAAAACAAAATGAAACAAAACATTCGTTTTAAAATGAAACGTTATTTACAAAAAATGTAAAATCAGTATGATAATGAACAAATAGATAATTATGAAAATAGATTAAATTTATCTACATACTCTTGCCTATCTATAATGTACCAGCTAAGGATAGAGGCTTTAAAGAGATACTAGCCCTTAAAAGAGATGAACTTCTCTTCAATCAAGTCTTGCTGGAGAACTTAAATAAATGTAAGTTTTTCTCATTCAAGTATACTGATCCTCCTTTCTACGTGACACCTAAAATCATTTACATATCAACCGTGGTGAGCTTTGGGAAACACTTGTCTATGGAGAGAACTACAAGGAAATGAGAACATGTGGCTTTTGTTACATATTTATCTAAGTTAACATAGGAGTATACTGAGCAAGATTTTGCAAATGCAAAATGCAATTTGATGGACACAGCATAATTGGTTATCCTGCAGGCAACGCTTAATCAAAACAGATCTGATAGCTGGGGTAACATTCACATGTTCATACTGTTATGATCAGATTCTCAGCAACCTAACTTCTTCAAACAGGGAAGGATGCAGTTAAACTTAGATAAGAGATCTTCGCTCACTCCTGGTGAGTTCATCACTAGCACAAAAGTGTCTCCTTAATACACAAAATTAAACCTGTCACAGTGACTTAACTTCATTAACACAACTTCCTGATCCATGGCAAATTATTAGCAATACAAAATCTATGACTCTCAAGCTAATTAACACTGCTTCTTTTGCATTATGATGATCAGATTCTGACTTTTAAGAATAACTAGAAAACACTCAAAGAGGGTAGCAGGAAATTATAAAGCAAAACAGCTTCTGAAGCAAAACCTACCAATATTATTAAAACATCTACTCTATAATCCATTTTCCAATTATCCTTAAGAAAAACACATCTCATCGCAGTCCATTCACTATCTGTAATCACGGAGCATGATTTCTCTTTGTTTAATTCTCCAAAGGCAGAAGTAAAATGAAAAGTTTCAAAGCGAGGATAAAAGTTGAATATATGAATGAATACATCATATTTTAAAAATCTCTATTTTAGTTGCAGATGTCTTATGAAATAGGTAATACATGCACACAGCAAAAAAAAAAAAAAAAAAAAATCAAACAGTTCAAATGGTTCACTGTAAAAAGTAATTTACATTCAGCCTTTTCTCCCAGCTTCCCAGTTCTCTCCAGTAGAAATCGCAGTTGCCAGTCCTTTGTGTAGACTTCTTGGGACATAGTGTGCTCACAAAAGTACCCTTCTCTGGGTTTCCCCAAATGCAGCATTATACATGCAGCTATGCACCTTACTTTTTGAACAAGCATACAGAAAACCACTAAATATGTGTGCATACAAATTTGTATCATAATACATACATACCAGAGATATGGCCTAATTCTAGAACAAATTATCAAATTGAACAAACATTTATAGACAGCCCACTGTGTGCCAGACACTGCTGTATGAGCTGGAGCATAACTGGAAAAAGACCTGCTCCCAAAACTATAAGACTTCCGTTCTAGAGCTTCCTCATTAAGCAAAGCCTTCCTAGCTGCTGTGTAAAATCCCTACCTCAACACATTTGTCTATCAACAAAACACCTGTAAAATGTACATCTATATGCATGCATGCATTTGCATACCTATATCACATATATGTGTTCTATATGCATATATAATATGCTGTATGCATGTACACACATATAACATATTATACACATATAACATATTGTGTGTGTGTGTGTCTGTATGTGTATAACCTTTTTCCATCATCCAGACCCATAGTATGAGGAAACATATCCTGGCCTCCAGAAGACAAGAAGAAAAAAGATAAAAAAGGAAACAGAAAACTGGCATCAGAATGTACAAAGAGATAAGGAATGGTCTTCACTTAGAATGAAGAATTAGGGCTTTTAAAAGAAGAGCTTTATATTCTATTCAGGGTCCTCGTTTCTTAAAGAAGATACTGACACAGATGAAAGAAAAATAAATGGCATCCACCATGCATTTCTGCATTTGGATGTCCTCTGAATGTGCTGAGATTCTGGAAGCCTCTGGAACTATAAAAAGGCAGCTTACATTTCAATGGGAAGGAGCCACCATTGGGCCCCCCCATGCTCTCTCTCTGTGTCCAAGATGAACTGAACTATTTGTCAGAAGTTAACAATAAAAAGGGCACAAATATTTTCTAATGGTTCAACTCCCTCAGTCTCTCATAGACAAGACTACAACTACTGCTTCTACTAATACATAAAAAGAGATGGCAAAAGAAATCACAAGAGAAAATGAAAGTTCACCGGTTGAGATTCTTTCCCCTAAATTTATTATTTTCTTCTGATAAAGAATAAACACATCTATTCATCCACCCTCTCATCCATCCACTCATCCATCCATCCATTTGCCCATCAATCTATCCATTCCTCCATCCGTCTACCCATCCGTCCACCCCCGTGTCCATCTCTCCCAATTTTTGCTAACTACAAAACACAAAAGAAATATTTTATTGAGATAGCACCTGATTTCCAAATTATATTACTGGTACAGATGTGTTTCAATTTGTGTATCTATAAGTTCACCCAGTTCACCAGTATGGCACACTATCACTACATAAACATATCACTACATACATATCTAGGACTGAACTCAAATACAGATTTTCTCTTTTCCCTCTCATTTGCTGTACAAGCAAATCTTCAAGAATAAAAAGGAAAGGCCCAAACGAGAGCTGCTGATAATCCAAATTCCTAAAAACCAACATCGAGCAAAGAAGTACAGAAAAGAATCCAAATCAAATCATCCCCACATTGGTTTCAAATGCTCCTTGATCATAAGCCAAAAAAAATCATAATAGTTATCAGCTGAGATTCCTGAGCTCCCTGCTAGAATAAATAATAAAAAATAAGGATATTTTCCAAACACTGAGCTAGGAAGTTTAAAAATGCACTCCAGAAATAATGCATGGCATATCGGAATTCATCCTTTCATTATTGTTGAAATTTTCAATAGAATCCTGAGCAAAAAGCAACATACAGGTGACAAAAATATGTGACCAGACTAGGAAACCCCCAGAGCCACAAATGAGATTTCAGGAAAGTGCAATAAAACAAGAACTACTGAGTTTCCGAGCCTCCCTTTGCCCAGCTGTGAATTGATTGTTTCTAATTTGGTGGCTATCAGAGACAGATTCAGGTTTTAATTTCTCCCTAGAGTGATCCACAATTCCCTGCAATTCTACTGCAGATAGTTCACTGTACCATCAGAAAATGCCTGCCCGTGAATACAATCATATGCATTGTATTTAAATATACACTGCAAACGTGGAATGCACCCGTGTGAAGAGAGACGTATAGGCTCTGGTTTCTAACACTTGCAAAATGGGCCGTTTCATGAGACATGCAGAGTTTCAGTTCCTCCAATAACATGGACTAGAAAGAGGTCATGTTGAAGAGGAACATGGTTTGTGGGTCAATTCCATCTGCATGGTGCAGTCCTTGCAGGTGATACGGTGCTCTGCTGGGGTTTTAAGTAGGTCTGCTGTGAATAACAGCCCACCTTTCCCAAATGAAAGATTCCATTCATCTACCTGGAGGCCCTGATAGAATAGACGACACACACCAAATGCAAACCACAGTGGAAATGGTTGTTAGCAATCTAGGAAAAAAAAAAAAAAATCAGGCCACATTTGCAGCTGATCTGAATATATCGGAGGCCAGTTGGGACTCACCTGTTTTCTGAGCCAGCTGCTTTCTTCTGACAAACGATGACAGCTGGTGCATACTTTCCAGTATAATCCGTGCGCTCCTTGACATCCCAAATGGAAGGGCTGCTGGCTCGCACGCCGATGATGTTCACGCCTTTCTTCACCTTTGCCCTGTTGGAGACAGCACGTGTGGGTCTGAGTCAGCTCTGGGGAATCCCCGGGTCATGCTGGTTCTGGGAACACGGGGAGCTTAATTGCTCACCGTTGCCTGGCAGGTGTAAGCTCATGTATACTAGGATTTAAACACAAATTTGCAGTCGCCTTCCAACCCATCTGCCCTAATTTCTTTCCGTTTTTCCTACCTTTACTAAAGAGCTAGAGATGGTAGACTGACAGCCAGCAAACATTAGTTACAGAAAGAAATAGAATATCCTTGCACTAGCTTGTATCTTTAAATAAAGCCAAGCCAAACACAAACACAGAACTACCTGAAAACCCTTAGCCTGGCCAAACTCAATAGAAAAAGGCAATGAAAATGCAAAAGTAAAGACTGAAATAAGAACGCACATTCATTGAATGTCTCCCAGTGCCAGGCCCTGATGGACACTGTGTCTATATTATCTGATCTTCCTAGCAAGGTTCCAAGCCCAAAATGAGGGGGCTGAGGTTCAGATAGGGGAAGGAACAATGATGGCCTCAAGTGATCCACCTGCCTCAGCCTCCCAAAGTGGGAGCTACTGCGCCCAGCCCTGTTTGCTTTTTATAATCTTGTCTTCTTACTGTATGCTTTCCATTCCATATGTTCTTTCCAATTCAGGTTTCTAAAAGAAACATAGAATAATGAAACCCCATCTCAACTAAAAATACAAAAATTATTTGAGTGTGGTGGTGTGCCCCTGTAGTCCTAGCTACTTGGGAGGCTGAGGTGGGAGGATCACTTGAACCTGGGAGGCGGAGGCTGCAGTGAGCTGAGATCGACCCACAGCACTCCAGTTTGGGTGACAAAGTGAGATCCTGCCTCAAAAGAAAAATAATAATAAATAAAATATAAAATAAAATAAAATGCAAACAGTTTGATTTTGATTTACAAGCTGGCCTAGAAGTTTGAAAAAGCTAATGTTTCCTGCTGTGTTTTCTCTTAGTCCCTCAGCGGAAAATAGGAAAAGTCTTGAAGCGAGAGTACCAAGGGGAACCTGGAGCACGCTGATGGTACCTGACCTAGGCAGACGAGGATGGTGGGAGCGGCCGACTTGGAGTTCCTCCAGACTTGTAATCATTGTGCCTATATAAACATGCAGTAAGGCAATGGTGCCAGAGCCTACATCTCAAAATCCCTCTCTGTCATGCCAGAGGAGAAAGTGAGACCATCTTCTGCTATTAATATTAGGGACAAAAGGCGAGGGGGAGATGACACTCATAGGACCAGGGCTTTGAGAAAAAGCAGGACACGTCTGTCCCTAACACCAACAACGCTATTTCCCATGGAAACAATTTTAAAATGTAGTGTGCAGAAAAGACCTGAGGCTGCAGGCTTGAGACTGCCCTCCTTAGGAAAGCCTGCTGGCAAGGGTGGCTGGGAACTTGGATTTGGGGAGCGTTCCCTCCCTTTTCATGGTCAGAGGGGCTCACGGTGCCTAGACTGGGCAAATGAGGTGGTTTATGCTGGACACTTTGTTGTCTTCTAGGAGCATAGAATTTTGGTACGTGCCAGGCAGAGGGTGCCCCCATGAGCAATCCCCAGTGAAAACCCTGAACTCCTGGGCTCAGGTGAGCTCCTCTGGCAGTGCTGTCCCAGCCATATGCTGGAGGAATTGGAGGAATTAAGCACATCCTGCGTGACTCCACGGGGAGAGGATTCCTGGGAGCGTGAGCCTGGTCTCCTCCCCTGTGCCTTTTCCCTCTGCGGACCATGCTTTGCTTTCCTTGGCGAATACATCGGAGCAGTGATTCTCACCACATGCTGAGTCCTGTGAGTTCTCCTAGTGACTCGCTGGACCTGGGGGTGGTCTTAGGAACCCCCAGGACACATACTGATTTGGCGAGTCCACAAAGAGAGAAAGAATTGCTTCTAGGTGTGGCCCTACTGCAAAAGTCAGCATTTTTAGAAAATGATCATCACGTATAACATTATTTCTGTGGGGAAAATGCACGTTTGATGTTTTAAATAATCATTATGCATGCAAACACTTTGAATGCAGTCGTTTAAAAACTGGGAATCGCATGCAGACGCCAAAAAGCCATCTGACCTTTCTAGATACTCAGGTGAGACACTGGGCGAATAGTTAGGATTCCTGCCTTGCAGAAACTCATTTAAATTGTAGGCAACCAAGATGTGGTAGCGAACAAAAGTACAATCCGCTGTGGACAGCTACTATTATACTAAGATGAATTCTAAAGGCTGTCCCAATTACTCTGCAGTGGAATTTTATTGAATCAACATTGCTTTAAATAAATAGGTCATCAACCTGGCTGTGACAACCTTTTCATTATACAGGAGATATCAGTACATAGGCCTTTTCTGATATATAATGGGCTTATATGTTTCTGAAATTTTATTCATAAGTAGGCTATGTGGAATTCAGATGATGTTTCTCCAATGAATCCTTTTCAAGTTCTTAAGAAAGGACACAGTGGCTTGTTCAACCCATGAAGTATTCAACATTTCTTGCTAATAATTCCACTGTAGCAAATGAAGCTATAGTCGGTAGCATTATTTCTGCAAAAATGTTTTTTCCTGGAATTTTATACAGGACACTGGGAACTGTCTTTCAGAGACACAGAACATTTTCATAATAGAACACACATTTCTAGGGCATGTTTTAGATGTTCAGAATTGAAGAAGGCATACTCAAGAGGTATCCTTGTGTGTGAATATCAAGGAAAATCTATGTAATAAACTGGATGGTCATTCTTCGGAGATGTAGACACGGTATTTACTGAACACGGTGTGTGTTGGGTTAATAATTTTGAAGCACGAATCTCAGAGCTGTCAGTGGCACCATTTGGAACCATTAAAGTAGTTCCTAGAACACATGCCCCTGGGCTCCACTGGGTCTGAGCCAAATACTAATTTCTCCCTTTGTTTATGACAACTGAGTTACTTACATTCATTAATGGAAGTTTTATAACCTACTTGTGGTTCAATAAATACAGGTTACACTGACAGCCTCATTACACAGAGATAAACATAGCACTTGATTTTGAAGATACTTTGCTGTAGATTTATGCTTAATAATATATCTACCATGGTGATGGGGGAAAGCCATAATTTTCCCCATAGTATGCACATGCACTGTGATTGGGTATCAACAAAACCTGCCTGGGGTTAAAGGTATATTGTGTTTTTAAAACATAATAGAACTGCAGGGACTGTGTATATTTTATATACATATATATATAAAAATATATAAATGCAATTTGTATATACATATATGTATACATAATGTAGAATATGTATATATCATCAACACACACACACAGAGTTTCAAGTACAGCATCCAGGGTTCAGAAATGTGGTGCGCAATTGTTGCTTTTGCTCCCCATACCCAATCTCTTTCCTGGATAGCAGTATCTTCATTTTGCTTATATGACCCACCTCTCTGCCATTCTATACCACCATGGTAGACTTGTAAGTCAAGAGTTTCTCCCTCCAACCCTGGACAAAAGGTGGACACATGACCTAAGCCAGTCCAGCTGAAAGATTCTCTCTGGAATATAATCTTGAACAAAGAGACACAGCAAATAAAAAAGGTTGGGGGAAATTCACCCAGCCTTGTGGCCCTGCTACAACTGTCTATTGCTTCCTTCTCTCTGGTTTGCAGGAATTAACACAGCTAACATTTCTGAATCTGGTTCTCAGCCTTCCCTTTAGGCATACAAATATTCCCCATCCTCCCATCCAGTCCCTTCTTGTTTAACGTAGCCTGAGTTATTTATGATCATTTCCAATTATATAACAAGGGGAGGCTAAGATTCAGTGACTTCAAGAACAAGGAAGTGTATTTCCTCCTCCTGTGAACATCCATTGCTGGTAACCCAGGTTGCTGGGTGTCTCTGTTCCACTCAGTCATTTGGGGATCAAGGCTGAAGGCATCTCTACTGTTTTTAATGTATAACTTCTAATGTCTCTGTGCTCATGACCATCCCAGCCAAGAGGAAGAGGGAAGAGCAGTAGACCAGAACAAGGGATTTCCTCTTAAGCAGGTGAGGTGGGCACTGCATGCCCAAATTCACTCACCTCCCATTGGAAGGAGCCTAGTCTCATGGCCACACCTGACTGCAAGAGCAGCGAGTGCTGGGAAGTCAGTCTTTACCTGGACAGCCGTATCCCCACTGTGACCCTGTCACTATAGTGGAAAGAGAGATGGATTTGGATGGAGGATTTGCATCTCCCTCCACCACAACCACCAGGGGACTCCAAATGATGGGATGTGTCAGCCTCCTAAAGTCTATAAATTTGAGTTCATTATCCAAAGCACTGTGTACAGAGACTTAGGCTGATGACAACATTGCCCCAAAGAGAAACTCCCTACTTACGCAATCTTGTCAGTGGAAGTGTTCTTAATATGCAACCTGAATACAGGCATATTCATGTATGAAATTCACACTGGGGCTATTGAACTAATACAAATGTGTGCTATAAAGAACACATAGAGACAGAAAGCAAAATTGATGAGATAAAAGTGGGATAAAGGGGAATTTCAGTGTTTTGTTTGTTGGGAGATTCATTTAAGATTTGTGTGCGTGTGTGTGTGTGTGTGTGTGTGTGTGTGTGTGTTGTTAGAAAAAAATGAAAGAGGAAGAGAGAGCAAAGAGAAAGGAAGGGGGACAGGGAGAGAAGTTTTGCTATATAGAGTTCAAAGCCCAAGAAGAGAAATTTGGATTGTGTGTAAGTCTCAGGCTATTTGTTTATAATGAACATAGTCCTGTTAGAAACTATTATTGGCTAATCAGCTATCCGCAGGCTAATACTGGCTTTAATCAATAACTGACTGTAGAATTCCAGGGAATTGGAGGAAGGAAGATACGAAGAGATCCAAACTTCTGGACTGCTTCTCTCACTTCTGAAATGAAAGATTTGTCTACATGTGTCTCCCCCAGAGATTCATGTGGCCACATAGTCTCTGCATAGATAAAATCCTGGTAAAATCTGATATCTCCATTTTTGAGTCCATATAGGCTCAATCTATGGAACAATACACAGTGTGCACCCACCAAAGGGTGCCACACTCCTACGCATGTAGATTTGGTGATAGCATTCCTCCCAGTTAATTGATGGAAACATGCCCTTTGGGGTCACAGCAAAGCTTTTTTGAATTGCTCTTTGTCTCCATACTTACTTTCTCTCATTAATAGTGACAGAGCATAAAATAAGCTTCATTTTTTTTATAGGTCATAGCTCTATTAACATATTGTGCAATCACTCTTGGCTTCTAATTTCCAGTTGACCAGAAAAACAAATTTATGGAAACGCTACTTTCCACTACATCAACATGTTGATATATCACATAACATTTTGCTTATATGATGAAGCACTTCCAGCCCGATCTGGACGTCTTGGCCCTGCCCTCGCCAGCAGTTACATGGATATGCCTGCTTACAATGCCACTGTCAGTATTTTAGGAATCATGTCCCACTTTTCACTTTGGGAGACACTAGGTCCCTCTTTCTATTACTGGAATATATTTGCTAAGTCTCCTTACTTTGTGACTATTCCACTATAGCCAGTTAAAGACCAACAGTGAAGCAGAAGAAAGAGCTAAGCCTAAAGTAACAATGTGAATGATATGTTTCCAACTTCTTTGTCATGCACCCCTATCAGTAAAAATATTTTCATATGCGGCCGGGCGCGGTAGCTCACGCCTGTAATCCCAGCCATGTGGGAGGCCGAGGTGGGAAGATCACCTGAGGCCGGGAGTTCAAGACCAGCTTGACTAAGATGGAGAAACCCTGTCTCTACTAAAAATACAAAATTAGCCAGATGTGGTGGTGTATGCCTGTAATCCCACCCAGCTACTCAGGAGGCTGAGACGGGAGAATTGCTTGAACCCGGGAGGCAGAGGTTGCGGTGAGCCGAGATTGTGCCACTGCACTCCAGCCTGGGTGACAGAGTGAAACTCTGTCTAAAAAAAAAAAAAAAATTCATATGCAACCTTTATATAGGTTTTTATGTTTATAAACTTTACAGTTGAACCATGGGTTGGACTATTGAAATAATGTGTGCTACAAAACATACATGAAAATGCACATTTTAAACCTTGAGACTAAAAATAATCAGTTGCCAAGTCCTGATTTTAGTTGATCCTCCAATGAATCATTTTACATTCCCCTTAGGATGTGCTCACCCCACGATAAAGGAGACACTTGAATCCCCTAGACCCTTTAATTCCCAAGAACGGGGTGCATGACACACAGCAGCGGCAGCCATGTGACAAGGAAGCTCAGCTCTAAGTGTTCATGTCAATATTCACATGGGGCTTAAATGCTCCTGCCAGCTCTAAGTGTTCATACCTTCACTTGTACAAGGGAATCTGTTTTCCCACTGCCCTTCTGGTGGGTAAAGTTAAATTTAGAAGTAAGACCTGTGACTTCAATGCAACCCATTTTTGCTGTCTTGCTAACTGTGAGGCATTACAAGGGCTCTAAACGGACATAAGGAAGTAGAGAACAGTTCGAGGAGACCAAAGAGAAGAGGAATTGGTTCACAGAAGAAATGGGGGGTCTCCACACCCCCACAGGGAAAAGCCAAGAATGCGGAAGCATGGGGGTGTGGCCTCCACTGCACTGAGGGAAAATGATGAGAACAGTTTTCAGTAACTGGTGGATTAATAGAACATTAAAATCCCTAGAAGCAAAGCTCAGCCTGTCATTAATTAGAAAGCACAAAATACACTAACGTTGAAAACTCAAAACTGCAGAGTCCTGGCCTCATCGACGCGGCACACAGGCCAGGTGCTGCCAAAGACAAATCTTGACTTTTATGTGAAATTCCAACATTTGAAGACACTGTCCAAGACAAAAAGACATCTAAAGATTTAAAGCAGAGCGATGTCCTCTGTCACTTCTGAGATTTACGTGAGCTGTAAATGAGGAAGTTAAATATCTTCAGAATGAATGAATGCCTCAATCAATGGACACACACAAAGATACAAGGAAGAAAGCAAACAAAAACAAAAACAAAAAAACTCCCGAACTTCCATCACTTTACACCTAAGCTATCCATAATTTAGTCATCATTCTTCTGTGTACGTTTCCACACCCAGTCTATAATTTTATATAAATAGGATCATGCCGAGGGCTGCCATATGGCCATGCAACTTGTGACTGGCTAACCCCAGGAGGCTTTATTCATATAGAGTATGATATGAATGGGGCCTCATACAGTGGAGCAGTGTACAACCTGCACAGCTGTGCACAGTAGCTGTGATGACAGTAGTCCCACTCTATCCTTGGAGGATACAGTCCAAGACCCCCAGTGGATGTATGAAACCATGGATAGTACTAAACCCTATACATACTATGTTTTTTTTCTACACATACCTATGATAAATTAATTTATAAATTAGACACAGGAGGAGATTAACAATAATAACTAATAATAAAATAGAACAATTATGAAAATATACTGCAATACAAGTTATGGCAATGCGGTCTCTCTCAAAATACCTTCTTGCACTGTATTCACCCTTTTTCTTAGGATGACGATGAGAGGTAATAAAATTTCTGCACAATGAGATGAAGGGAGGTGACTGGCACAGGCCCTGTGATGCAGCATTCTGCTACTAGTGACCCCTGGCAATAGGTCAGAAGGAGCGTTGGCTACTAGTGACCCCTGGCGATAGGTCAGAAGGAACGTTGGCTACTAGGGACCCCTGGCGATAGGTCAGAAGGAGCGTTGGCTACTAGTGACCCCTGGCGATAGGTCAGAAGGAGCGTTGGCTACTAGTGACCCCTGGCGATAGGTCAGAAGGAGCGTCCTCTGCTGCAAGTGATCCTGGAGCTGAGTCTTGATGTCCATGGCTGGATGTCAGGAAGAGACCATGTGGGTGACAAGGGGGCAGGTGTCTCATGCAGGAGGGTTGCGAGTACAGGACAAAGGAATGATTCATGTCCCAGGAAGGATGGGGCTGGCAGCACAAGATTTCATCACACTACTCAGAATGGCATGCAATTTAAAACTCGTGAAATGTTTATTTCCGGATTTTTTTTTTTTTTTGAGACAGACTCTTACTCTGTCACCCAGGCTGGAGTGCAGTGGCACGACCTCGGCTCACTGCAACCTCTGCATCCCAGGCTCCAGTGATCCTCCCAGCTCAGCTTCCCAAGTAGCCGGGACTACAGGTGTGAGCCACCACATTTGGCTAATTTTTTCTTTTTTTTTTTTTTTTTGAGACGGAGTCTCACTCTGTCACCCAGACTGGAGTGCAATGGCGCGATCTCAGCTCACTGCAAGCTCCACCTCCTGGGTTTACACCATTCTCCTGCTTCAGCCTCCCAAGTAGCTGGGACTACAGGAGCCCGCCACTGGCTAATTTTTTCTATTTTTTTTTTTTCTTTTAGCAGAGACGGGATTTCACCATGTTGCCCAGACTGATTTCAAACTCCTGGGCTCAAGTGATCTGCCTGCTTCAGCCTCTCAAAGTGTTGGGATTACAGGCGTGAGCTACCACGCCCAGCCTGGAATTTTCCATTTAATGTTTTCGGACCCCAGAAAGCAAAACCTTGGATTAAAGGATACTACTGTATATTAAACATGCTGCTTTGATCACAGATCACCCTGGTCTCTTTTCTCTACCAGCTCAAGAGACAAAGCAGCTCAAAGCCAGAAACGGGCTAGCCACCTGCCAACTCAGGGGAGCCCAGCGGGGAGAACGACCAAAGGCACAGAGCAAGTGACATGGCCCAGAGGGTGAGCCAAGCGTGGTGTCAAGTCTCCGGCCAGGCTGGCTGATGGCTTTGGGGACCTCCTGTCTCTCCTGGAATACATCTGAATCCACCTATTTCACTCCATTAAGCCTAGTCTGTGGGCTTTTATTTTTTTTTTTAAATTGCCAGCACAGACAGATGTTCAATGGCTTTTAAAAACCATCTTAGAGCTACATGCTTTCTGCACATCGTCTTTAGTCTTCCCAAGCAGCTGGTTTGCCTCCTGACAGTCAATGCATGAGAAGGGTCCCCGAGGCCAGGCATTCCTACAGGTGCTAGCTAGTTCATGGGAGATGTGGGATGAGTAGAAACAGGGAGAAGGGGCTGCACACCAGCCAGGAGCTGTGCCAGTGCGATGGACAGGGACACCAGCTGTTAGAGGCTCTGAAGTCAATGTCCCCACCCCCACTACTCAAAATAAGTAAATAATAATCCGTGGCTATAAAGGACTGAAGTGAGTAATTCGAGGAGAGTAAATCAATCTGCCTCTGGGTGTGTTTGTTCATTCACTGATTCATTCAACAAACTTTTTTTTTTTTTAATTGAGACAGAGTCCTGCTCTGTCACCCAGGCTGGAGTGCACTGGTGTGATCTCCACTCACTGCAACCTCCACCTCCCTGGTTCAAGCAATTCTCATGCCTCAGTCTCCTGAGTAGCTGGGATTACAGGTGTGTGCCACTACCCCCAGCTAATTTTGTGTATTTTTAGTAGAGATGGGGTTTCACTATGCTGGCCAGGCTGGTCTCGAACTCCTGGCCTCAAGTGATCCACCTGCCACCTTGGCCTCCTAAAGTAACGAGATTACAGGTGTGAGCCACCATGCCAGCCTCATTCAACAAATACTTTAATTTCTTTGCAAAGATGGGGTCTCATTATGCTGCCCAGGCTGGGTCTCAAACTGGCTTCAAGCAACCCTCCTGCCTTGGCCTGCCAAAGTGCTGGGATTCCAGGCATGAGCTATCACTGTGCCCAGCTTCATTCAACACTTTTTGAGTGCTCCCTCTTTTCATATACTCTTCACCCACTGGATATGCAGGTGAGAAGAAACATACGTTTTCTATTGCCATGGAACTAACATTCTAGTGGAGGAGACAGAACGCATGCATGCACACATTTCTTACACTGATAAGTTCCATGAAGAAACAAAGCAAAGCAAGAGGTCAGAGGGCTCAGTGTAAGGAGCGGCTACTTAGAACCACTTACCTTATTTTATTACTCATGTTTCTGAAAAACCATAAAGCCAGCAAGGAACACACGCAGGCAGGCAGAAGGGAAATACGTAGACATACACAGATGTCTTTTATGCCTGATTTGCCCTCTGCCTAATATGAGACTGGAGAAAGAACTCTCCTTGTTCCTACTGAACACAGACCACCACCCAACAACAGTCAAGGATGTTATTTAAATATTTTACAAATTGTTATGTGGGAACATTGTCTATGGATTCATAGGAATCGTTATGACTCCATGCAGACCAGGTTTTCTCATTTGGAAAAACAGAACTTTGATATAGGCTGCACCCCTCAACACACCCTCCCAGAAATGGATGGCTAAATTGGGAGGGGATGGCGAGAGAGGGTAGAGGGACCTGCATTCATTCATCACCATTTCCAGAAACACAGAGCAAACTGTTTGCCTCATTGATACCAAACCAATAAACGACAACACATTCTGAACTGCCCACATGTCAATGATTGGGATGTGGCGGCCTCATTCTTCGCATGTCACTGAGTCTCCCATCATGGGGTCATCAAATAAACCAGCAGACAGGCAAAACCAGAGTCCCGCTCCTGTTGCACATAATGAACCCTAAGCCATGTCGAGTCCTTAACACGGTGTCTGGTAGAAAATCAATTTTAGCTATGATGATGATTATTACCATTATCTTCTTTGTTACACAGAAACCTGGATGCCCTGAATACCTGAATAAAATTTTACCCCTTTTCCATCTCATCCACTCTTCTTAAAAACAAAGCCCTGACTCTTCTTAAAAACAAACAAACAAAAACAAAGCAAAACAAAACAAAAAGAAACAAAGCATAATCCTTGCCTCCAATGGGAGATATCAGATGTGAGCTCAAAGTTCTAATCAGCCTCATAAGTTCCAAATGTAGCCAAGTCAATCACCTCAGCAGAGCCAGCAGGACAAATATTTGCAGACAAGCAGCTCAGGGGGCCTCCCCAGCACCTACTATTTCAGAACACTCAACTAACTTCCATGTTCCCAGGGCTCCACGATTCACAGGGGGCTGAGATGTGCCTAGTTTTCAGGGTTTAGGATAAGACCTAATTTTACTGTCTGTTAAGAACCACAACCCCCTAATTTCATTACATTACATAATTGAACTGTATTGCTATTTTCTCAGCCTTCATGGTTACCAGTGTTTTAGAGAAATTGCTTAAATATACTTATTTAATTAAAGAAGGCATTCTAAATCAAAAGCGGAACTATGGTTAATAAACGTAAATTCTCAGGGATGTCTTTTGGGAGGTTGTTAATTTTTTTATTAACAATTTTTCATTGAAAAATGGTATAGAAACGTTATAAATATTCAAATGGCATGAATGGGGATATAAGAGAAGTTCCTCTTGCTACAGACATCTATCGTCAAACTTCTGAGTTTAGTGGGACATTTTCTAAGAGATTAACATACTTAGATACATGGATTTAAAATATATGTACACCAATGACAACACGCTGTACACACAGTTATACTACATATATGTATATGTAGGTATATATATAATGTATATACACACACGCATATACGTACATGCACACAGTCATGCACTGCACGACATTTTAGTCATCAATTAACTGCATGTACAACAATGGTCCCATAAGATTATAATATTGTATTTTTACTGTACCTTTTCTATGTTTACATATGTTTAGACACACAGATATTTACCATTGTGTTACAGTTACCTATAGTTTTAGAACAGGCACATGCTGTATAGGTTTGCAGCCTAGAGCAATAGGCTATACCATACAGTCTAGGTGTGGAGTAGGCTATACCACCTATGTTTGTGTACTCCATGATGTTTGCAAAATGACAATATCACCTAATGACGCATTCCCCAGAGTGTACTCCTGTCATTAAGCAATGCATGACAGTAAATTGATAGATAGATTAGAAAGATGGATAGATGGATAGATGGATGGATGGATGGATGGACAGCTGGACAGATGGATGAATGGGTGGGTGGGTGGGTGGGTGGATGGATGGATGAGTTGATGAGTTGGTGAGTGGGTGGGTGGGTGGATGGATGGATGGATGAGTGGGTGGGTGGGTGGATGGATGGATGAGTAGGGGGTGAGTAAGTGGGTGGGTGGGTGGGTGGATGGATAGATGGATGGATGGATGGATGGATGAGTGGGCGGGTGGATGAGTGGGTGGATGGATGGATGTAAGGATGGATGGATGGATGGATGGATGGATGGATAGACAGATAGATAGATATTCCTCAACTTATGATGGGGTTACATTCCAATAAAACTTACTGTAAGTTGAAAATATCATAATTGAAAATGCATTCTACACTCTACCTAGTGAACATCAGAGCTTAGCCTGGCCTACTGTGAGAATGCCCAGGGTGCTTCTATTAGCCTAAAGTTTGGCAAAATCATCTATAGTGTTGAATGTCTCATGTAATTTACTGAAAACTGTATTGAAAGTGAAAAACAGAATGGTGCCATGGGTGGTCCAAGTATGGTTTTCACTGGATGCTTATCACTTTCACACCATTGTAAAATAGTTATAAGTTGAACCACCATAAGCTAAGGCCATCCACACAAATATATACATAAAAACATATCTTGGGAATGTATCGATGTAAAGCATTTATAGATCCACTGCATTCTTTTTTCTACACATACTAATCCATTGTGTGCTAGTATCTGAGCAAAATCTGCTTGACTGGTGCCCCCTCGATGGACACAGAGGTGGTTCCTAATCTTTGATACCATAGCAAGTGCTTCAGGAAACTGCCATGTCCACACAACACTGCACACACATATATGTGTAGGATAAATTCTTAAAAAAGGAATTGCCAAGTCAAAAGAGATGCATGTGCTCAATTTGTATAGAACTTGCGAAATTGACATTCAGAAAGATCCTATACACGTTTATATCCACTGACAGTGTCTTAAAGTCCTTGTTTTCTTTCTTTTTGATCTTTGCAATTCTGATGAACACAGTATTTCATTAAGTCTGAGTGGTATTGAACATTTTTTCACATATTTATCTTTGAATTTTTGTTTTTAAGTTAAACGTCTGTTCAAATCCTTTGTCCATTTCCCTGTTGCTTTCTTAGTCTTGTTTTTATTGTTTATTAGGAAATTGATTTGTAAGGAAAATCCCTTGGTCCATTTGGAATTTGTTTTAGCATGAAATAAAGATCCAGCTTTATATTTTCCTGTATGGTTTTTAAAATCACACTATTCATTAAATGATTCATCCAGTACCTGTTGGCATAAATGCCATTGGTAAAATATACTAAGTTTATTTGTGTTTTTAGGCTTATTTTCTTGGACTATCCACTTGCTTTTATTAGTCTGTCTGCCTTCTCATGCACCAGTCCCTAAATGCTTTAAACACAATAGCTTATGACATATTTTAATATCTGGTAGGGCTATTTTCTTCCTATTGCTTCATTTTCAGGAATATCCTAATACCACATATTTCAGTAAGAACCACTTCTGTTAGCACATTTTTAAAGATAACTTTTCAGTTTGCAGAAAGAAAAGAAATGAAAAGAAAAAAAAGAGAAAGAAAAAATAAAAACTCACAGAAGACTATCAAAAGGTGCTACCAGACTTTGGGACAACATTCCTCCTAGAGATTAAAAGTAACACTTATCAGTCAGTTATGTGAGTGACAACCCACATCGGTAGTTCTCTGAGACTATGATAACTGGCAAATGTGTTTTCACAGACATCAGGGTGACTGAGTCACAACACCGCACCAGCGACCTCAGGATAGCTTCCTTTACAACAGCCGCATCCCTAAGTGACTTGTGGTTTGCGTTCATAGTATCCATTTTGGGCAACAGCCTTGGCTCAATGCATCCAATGAGGCTGGCCTCCGACAATGATCAGCTTTCTTCTTTCTGGTCACTGTGATTGGGTCCAAACATATTGATGAATCTTGGGAATTTTCCAGGAGTGACAAGAAAATTATTACTCCCTCCTTCCCAGCTTCCTCATTCCTGACTTGACTTGGGAGAGTGTGAGATTTGATCTACTGCACCACGAAGAGGCTGAGCATGATGTCAGCCCATGGGAAGGGAGAAAAATCAAGTCCTACTGGCATTGGGGCCCTGGATTCAACCATTCCTGAAGCAAGATCTATGCCTGTCTTTTGTTACAGGAGACATCCAGTTCTCTGCTAGCCCACTTTTTAAATGTTTTAATCATTTCAAGTTAGAATTTTTTCTTTTATTTTTCATTTATTTTTACTTTTTCTTTTATTATATTTTTAATATTTATATTTCATTGTGGTAAGAACAGTTAACATGAGATCTATGCCTTAGACACATTTTTAGGTGCACAGTAGAGTATTGCTGACTATAGGCACAGTGCTGTGCTGTGGATCTCTAGAGCTTATGCGTCTTGCATAACTGAGACTTCATGCCCATTGCACAGCAACTCCCCATTCTCCCACTCCCTGCCTCTGGCAACCAACACGCTACTCTCTGTTCTATGAGTTTAACCATTTTCTGACACCATCAGCTGAAAGCATCCGTTTAGGTGTAGAGAGTAAGTGTGGTTTCTTGCTGTCTTTACAACTTCTGAGACTTCTTACACAAGTTCCCATCTTACAGTGAAGTGGGAACAAAACTAAATGTTCATTCAATAGGGTAGTTCCACTCTGGTGAGAACACTTGGTTTAACTCTTCAGGTAAAACCGTCTCTCGGAGCTGTCTCTCTTCTCTCCAGCAAGAGGACCAGGAATATGAGGAGGAACATGGTCTACATGGGAATCATAGCAGAAGGAGGGACATGTCCAGGTGCCTCTTGGACATCTGCACTGTCTGTTCTCAGGTTGTCTGAGCTAGCGTGGGGTTCGATCATCACAGGTGCAATGGGGCACTCTGTTAGCATCTTCTGCAGAAGCCAGTGGCTGGGGTCCCCTGGGGTTTCATTTGTGTTATGGGATCCTCAAAGTCTGGTTAAGACTTCCACTGGCCTGACTGTCCCCTGTCCTGATGCCCAGGTACTCTGCCCTGCAATCATAACCAAGAATGTGCTTATTTTATTTAACAAATGTTTATATAACCCTTGTCATGTACCAAAAAAGCTTCAAACATCCACTTGTTTTTTCTCATATGAATAAAATAACAACTTTGATTCATTCCTGAAACCCTGTTGCTAAATGAAATGCTATTGAAAATACATGTCTGCGTGTGTATATTATTCATATTAATAGGAAAGATTATGATGGTTTCCATTTCAAATAGGCAGCTCCCTAGACATTAGAAACCTAAGCTACACCTGCATTCTCCTTTAGAGCACGTATATTAACATTGTCAAGCCCCAGTAATTCACAGCAAGCAAGGAGAGGATCCATTGCAAGGCTAGGATTTAAATTAAGAAGAAAGCTGCAAGGTGGGTGGATCACAAGGTCAGGAGTTCGAGACCAGCCTGACCAACATGGTGAAACCCCGTCTCTACTAAAAATAAAAAAAATTAGCCAGGCGTGGTGGCATACACCTGTAATCCCAGCAACTCAGGAGGCTGAGGCAGGAGAATTGCTTGAACCCAGGAGGTGGAGGTTGCAGTGAGCCGAGATCATGCCACCGTACTCCAGCCTGGGCAACAGAGCGATACTCCGTCTCAAAAAAAAAAAAGAAAAGAAAAAAGCTGTAGACAAGGGTAGCTACCATTGTAAGGAGAATTTTGGAGACTTCTGAAAGACATCTTTGCAAGCAGCTTAGAACCATCTATTTCCATACAGTTTATTAATAAGCTAATTAGGATTCATACAGGTTATGTTAGTTTTCTAGCCTTGCCATAACAAATTCCCACAAACTGGGTGGCATAAAACCAAAGAAATTGATTTTCTCACAGTTCAGGAGGCTAGAAGTCAGAAATCACTAGCTCTCAAGGCCTTGCTTCCTCTGGGGCTCTAGGGAAGAATCCTCCCATTGCTGCCTCTGCTTCTGGTGGCAACCAGCACTCCTTGGCATTCCTCACCCGGGGCAGCATCACCCCCGTCTCTGCCTCCATGGTTACACAGCTCCCTTCCAGCATGTCTGTGTCTTCACGGGGCCTTCCTTTTTAAATTTTTTCTAGAGACAGGGTCTCACTCTGTTGCCCAGCCTGGAGTGAATTGGTTCAATCATAGGTCACTGCAGCCTCAAACTCCTGGGCTCAAGTGATCCTCCTGCCTCGGCCTCCCAAGGTGCTGGGATTACAAGAGTGAGCCACGGTGCCTGGCCACGTGGCTTTCTCAAAGGAATACTGGACCTTGGGTTTAGGGCCCACCCTAAGTGTGACCTCATCTGAACCTAATTAAATCTGCAGAGAAGGTCACATTCACAGGTACAAGGGATGAGGGCATTTTCAGGAGCACAGTTCAACCCTCAACACCGGTCATTTCAGCGGGTTCTCTGCAAACTTCAGTGGGCAGACTTTCATGGATGCCATTTCCACCCAAACACAGTGCACAATTAAAATGTTGTTCTACAGGATGTTCTCCAACTAGAAAGTGTGAGATGAGTAAATTGCTTAAACCTGTAATGTTGAAAGAGCACTTCTCATAGTGTGCTGTTGGAGTGAAAAATCAATACCCTACTAAAAGAGTCTTGTCTGAAAACTGGTATAACTTTGTAAGAGTTGTTATGAAAAGAAGTTTTACCCCATGTTACAGATTAAGTTCTCTGCAGCACAGAGAGGTTGAGTAGCTTGCTCCAAGTCACACAGCTAGTGGGCGGCCGACTCCAGGAGCTCTGTTCTTACACACTGTGCTGTGCTGTTACTTTTGGTCACTGGAGGGTCTCTGCTGGCAAATGTGACAATTTGTGCCCTATTTCCCGTCTCTTCATAGGGAGCATGGATCTGAGTACATGGATACCGCCAGGCTACAGAGTAGAGTCAGCCTGTGCTGATAGGAATTTACACCTGGCTTCAATAAACCCTGCACATTTAGTTGTCGCTTAATCACCCCGTGGGGCAATTTCCTTCCAGAATTCAGATTACTTAGAGTGGAGGCCTGGCCTTGGGGTTCCCGCCTATATCCCTCTCCCAGATTAGGGTCTCAGCCCCATCAGGGGCAGGGGAGACACCTCCTTCACTCGGTGCTGGAGGCAGTCCGCAGCACTCTTCTCCCTTCTCTCTTTCCACAGTCCCTCAGGCCTGAATTTATGTCTGCAGAGCTGGGGTTTGATCTTTACCCATCCTGTTCGCCTCCTCCCTGCCCTTGGAGTATAATAAAATCTATTAATGTAATCTGCTAGGTCTCCCTTATGGTCTATTAAAAAGGGAAGGAATAGGAAGATTTTTCAAGAGATCCCTCTCTCAGTCACGCCATAAAATCTGGCTTTCAAGTCAACTTTCCTGCTGAGGATGAAAATCCCATATTGGATATTAGGACCTAGGTAATGGCCTGTTCTTTTTCTCTTCAACTTCCTGCTGTAGAACCAGCTATCCAACATCACAGAAGAGCCTGCTGAAACTTACAGAGCTCCCACCTGAATTTGACACATGCCTCTTCGGCTCACACTTCACATGTGACCTCACCTAACATCAAGGGGGGGTGAGGAAGTCAATCCTACCACCCCCTTCCAACCCAGGTGAATGGATGTGTTGGACTGGCCAAGAAGAAAGTGGTTTACTCAGAAATGCAGAAGAGAAAGCACATTTAAGTATTTCAACAAACGACCTCCTTTCTCATTTTACAAACAAGAAAACAGATTATTTAAAAAGCTTCCAAAGACTGGATATTTCCTTAGCTCACCTGAGTAGACTGCCAGACATGTGAAAGAAAGGAGCACCTCTGAAATTTCACATCACTCGTTGGGTGAGGTGATTGGTGAGAATTGTATCACCATTTCCTCCAGACACACAGTGAAATTCACTTCCTGATATGGTTTGGCTGTGTCCCCACCCAAATCTCATCTTGAATTGTAGCTCCCATAATTTCCCTGTGTTGTGGGAGGGACCTGGTGGGAGGTAAGTGAATCATGGGGGTGGTTCCCCCCTACTGTTCTCGTGGTAGTGAATAAGTCTCATGGGATCTGATGGTTTTGTAAGAGGAAACCTCTTTGGCTTGGTTCTCATTCTTTCCTGCCTGCCACCATGTAAGATGTGTCATTTCCTCCAGACACACAGTGAAATTCACTTCCTGATATGGTTTAGCTGTGTCCCCACCCAAATCTCATCTTGAATTGTAGCTCCTATAATTTCCACGTGTTGTGGGAAGGACCTGGTGGGAGATAAGTGAATCATGGGGTGGTTTCCCCCCTCCTGTTCTCATGGTAGTGAATAAGTCTCATGGGATCTGATGGTTTTGTAAGAGGAAACCCCTTTGGCTTGGTTCTCATTCTTTCTTGCCTGACACCATGTAAGACGTGCCTTTACTCCTCCTTTGCCTTCTGCCATGATTGTGAGGCCTCCCCAGCCATGTGGAACTGTGAGTCCATTAAACCTCTTTTTCTTTATAAATTACCCAGTCGCAGGTATGTCTTTATCAGCAGCATGAGAATGGACAAATACACTTCCCTACTCCCTTTGACTTTGGGCATAGTCACGTGTTTGGCCAATGAACTGTGAGCTGAAGGCCTGTTTGTCACCTTTGGTGGAAGCTAGAAGGAATAAAGCTTTGTTATGTCATCTTTTCCTTTACCCCTTGTGACCGTAAATGTTCTCAGAGGTGCCTGCTCTGTTAGCTCATGCCCTTGCTGAGGACAATCTAAGCAAGACCTCGGCAAGTCTGTAATGTGTGAGGGAAGTAAACATTGTCGGCCTCAAAACACGAAGGTCTTCAGGTTGCTTGTTACTGAGGCCTAACCTGGATAAACTGTGTCTTAGGAAAACCTTCTCTGGCTCTCTTTCCTGTTAGGATATAAACATACAAACTAAAAGCTGGAATAAGAATATGTGGATGTTTACCCAGCTCTGATTATATAAGAGACAAATTGACCTGGTTGTCATGAGAAAGATTAATAGAGTAGAACAGAGATAATTTTCCAGATTCTACAGCAAGCACTGGATGAAAAGGCAGAGGGCACATCTTATTTTTGACAAAGCTAATAATTATTCCATACTGGTATTTTTTTTTCTATATTTTTACACTAAAAAACCCTGAAAGAGCAACTTATGGATTTTCTAACTTCAGGAACTAAAGATGAGGATTAATTCCTCTGCCTTTACAACTGTAAAATGGGATTTGTCTAACAAGGGATTAATCACTATGTTCCCCCTCTCTGATTGCCCCTCTGAAATGGTTCTTTCTTCCGTATTTCCCAGCCTCTTGATTGACTCCCAAGCACAATGCTTGGCAGCCCACTCCTGGGCCGCTCCTTTGTTGACATTGCATCTTGGCACTTAGCAGCCCACATGCTCTAATGCGGTGATTTGTCAGAAGCCAGGTGTTCCACTCTGTACAACACTTAAGCAACCATTTCACAGCCATTACCAGTCTGCAGTAATGACACTGGGTGAAAGCTAAGTGCTAAACTGGTTGTAAACTACAAAGAACACCAGGGGAGGTGAAGACAGACACTTTGATAAACAAGAAGGGACAGCTTGTACCTTCTAATTGATCAGTTTAAATCTCCACTCAGCTTTCCTCTCACTACTTCAGTCCACTTGGTGTTCAGCAGATATGGCAGATTGTATTTCCAGAGATGACCACAACAGTATATACCTCCTAACCCTAGCACCCTTCCTCCCAACAGGCAGGAGGAGGAGGAAAGCTTGTGCCTGAGATAGAAGTCACACTATGAGGCTGTGAGTTCTGTTATGAGAGGAAGATCAGCCTCCACCATCCTCTTGTGATACTTGGAGCTCAAAGCCACCACTTAAGAAGCTCAAGGCCACCATATTGTGAGGAAGCCCCACCACAAAGTAGTGCCATGAACCAGTCTGAAACCCCAACGGGGGTCCCAGGCAAGAGCCAGCCTCAACCATTGCACATGTTTGGAGTGGGCCTTCACAGGATCCCAAGCTTCAGGGATCTGCCAGCTCCTCCAAGACTTCCTGGCTGAGGCCCCAGCCATTGTGGAGTAGAGGCATCTACTAACTTTTGTCCTTCCAAGTTCCTGACCCACGGAATCCAGGAGCATAAGAAAATGGTGGTTGTTTAGAGCATTAAGTTTGTGTGCTTTGCTATGCAGCGAGCAAAAGTGGAACAACAGTGTTCTGAAGTGAAACTGGAAAATCATTGCCTGCCTGCCCTGGGTCTGCACAGAGGCCAGGCTGGGCTTAGGAAGGCATGTCTCTCTCTTGGGAGTCATTAAATAGCAGCTCAGGGGTTGAATGTGTCCTACAAATATTGTCCCTAATGTAATTTTACTCCATTTTGATCATCTGAGCCAATAATTTAAAATTAAGACATTTGCTTTAAAAAAATCCAGATTTTTGGCTTGTCTTGGAACATAACACAATAACACTTGACCTATCTACTTTAGTATAGCGCCAATCAGTTGGGGCTGCCACCTTTAAACAGTGCCTGATTTCTTCCATCTGTGCCAGCTCCCACGATTCATGGAGCACCTCCAAACACAAACCTCTCTCTTCTACACGCCCTGCCTAATTCATTTCATTGTATTACCTGCCTGTCTCACTGAAGGTCATAGAGTTGGGAACCTCTGCTTCTGCCCTTAGAATTCACCAAGGGTCCAAAGTGCTAATGCCTGAGTAACCACAGATTTTAATAGTTTGATTATCATCCCCTGATATTAAAAATAAAGAGAATAAAGAGAACTCAACACCCTCTGATATTTTGGTTGGGGTGAGGGATATATCACTGGGAATATGACAAGTAGCATATATGGGCAGAAATGAAGTTGAGTCCTCTTCTGACCAGAAAGTCCTTATACATAGGCGAGGGAAGGGTCTCTCTTGCTCTAAATTCCTTCCTACAAAATCAGGAAAAAGTACTAGTGTTGGGCCTGAGAGTAAATGAATAAGTTGTGTTCAGGAAGAAATATCACAAAGAAATGAGGGAGGTATATCCATGTGCTATCAGGACAACTCCAAGTCAAACCATTTAAATACACTGTATGTAGATCAGCAATTGAAGGATTGAGTTTGCAACAAGAAAGTAACTTTGTAACTGTTTTCTTCCATATTAAAATCTAACATATTGTCTACCTATGCATTTATGTCTATTATCTATCATCAATCCATTATCTATATATCTGGCTACCTATCTACTTATTATCTATATACCTAACATCTATCTGTTTATATCCATTATCTATTATCTACCTATACATCTATCATCTACCTATCTACCTAGCATCTATCCATCTACCTACCTACCTAGCATCTGTTTATATTCATTATCTATTATCTCTCTACATTATCATCTATTATCTGTCATCTACCCATCTACCTAGCATCTAACTACCTACCTATTATCTATCGATCGATCTATCATCTATCTGTTCACATCCATTATCTATTTTCTATCTATTATTTATCATCTATTATTTATCTGTCATCTACCTATCTACATAGCATCTATCTACCTACTTGCCTGATATCTATCCACCTAGTATTTATCTGTTTACATCCATTACCTATTATCTATCTACATTATCATCTCTATTATCTGTCATTTACCTATCTACCTAGCATCTATCTAGCTACGTACCTACCTATTACGTATCTATCTAGCATCTATCTACCGGTTTATATCCATTATCTATTATCTATTTATATTATCTATCATCTACCTATCTATTTATCGATCAGTCATAGCTAGTGACTCACTGTTCTCCAAGTATAAAGTGTCACCTTTTGATCCTGGCATTTAAGGTCATCCACGGTCCAGATCCAACAACTACAACATGGATGCCCCAAGTCCGAGTCTCTGGGGACAAGAAAGGTCACGCCACCATCCGAGCCCCAGCCTTGCTGGTCTGACAGCATCCACCGGAGCAGCTTCGGTTACTCAACCTTTCAAGGCCAGGCTCTTCCCCTTTTGAGACTCCGAGAGTGTTGCGCGTTTGCTCCCAGCTGTGTCTGAGTCACTGCTTGTGGCTCATCAGTCAGGCTCCCTGCTGGTCGCTCTCACCACTGCTGCCCCGATGCCCAGCTCTTCACTCTGCCACAGTGGCCCGTGGTCCCTGGCTGCGTGAGTCCATCCTGGGGCTACGAGACTTTGCACCTGTGCTGCTGCTGTCAGGCTCGCCTTTCCCCTGCCCCCTCACTCTCTGCTCTGTGCGTGTCTGTGCACTGACAGGTCCATGGCTTCCATATGTAACATTTACCCCATGATAGGCACTCTTTTAGGAAAGACTCAAGGAGAAACTACCACGTTGTCACTTGGAAACACTGTACGTCTGTGCCTTCAGGCAATGAGGCTGACTCAGTGGTGGGATGGAAAATGTTTTGCAGCTGGCAGGGAGAGGGAGCGTGGATACCAGCCTGATTTGTAACACCTGCCCATTTCCATGGTGTAAATGTTCCCACCATGACTGTTTTCAAGCTCCCAACATGACAGCATTGAATGTGTCATTGGGAAGAGATGCACAAATTGGGCTCCCCCAAGCTCCAGCACACCACAAGCACTCATCTTCCTTTCATCTCTAAATTTATCACTCTAGAAAGCCCGTCTATTCCGCAGTCCTCTTCCATTTTCCAGTTCCCTGGTCATGCTATTTATGTTTCCTCATGATCACAGACACAACTCAGATTCTTTGCCCATGAGGATCCTCAACCCCTAAGTAAGTTAACGCAAGTGGACTCCATGGGAGAAATGTCACTTCCCATGCTTTGCGTATGTCCAAAAGCCAGGGCCCATCTCAAAGGAAACTCTCCAAGCTTTCTTTCCGGGTCTCTCCACAAATCTTTGATTATCCTTTAATCAACACTATCTAATCGGTCTTTCCTCAAAATTCTAGATATAGTCCCAGTTTCTCCTCAACTAGGTATATGTCGGAATTCCTGTCTTCTCCATACTCCCCCCTGTGTGATTATGTCCCTTCCACAGTTTCTATTCCTTAAAACAGTGGTGCTCACGGCTCACACTGCATCATCACACCACTCTTTGGCCACACCAAGCCAGGGTCAGAGACCTCATCTGAGGACTGCCCTTTCTCATCTGGCTGGTGGCCTGTGGACTGTGATGACAGCTCAAAATGTTTAATCAGATTTGTTTCTCCCAGTAATTTGAACCACAAGGCACTAAGTAACGATGCCAGGTGGTGCTGGGTTTCAATATGGAAAATTCATGCAAGCATGGCCTAGGATGGACAGCCATCTGCAAGTGGAAGAGAAAGGTGGTCGAGAGAGAGAAGCGTGCAGCAGAGACACTGAGAGAGAAAGAAAAAGGTGACCCTTGATTCCTGAGGGCATCACAGTTGCTTACTGTGGGTTCCATGAGGCCTCATGGTACAGTACTTTATGTTCATGAACAGCCATGTGATTTTCTTCCTTCTTTAGACAACCCTCTCTTCTGAATCTTGTCCACCTATAACCACCTTCTCTCTACTGTCACCTCTTACACAGAGACCTATAACATGGGACCACTTGTTGAACTGGATATTTTCCGCCAGTGACTTTCCTTTATTGGGAAGATAAACCTGGAGACCTGCTTTCATGGGGAATCACATCAGATGCTGCAGGAGGGAGGCCAAAGGCTTAGGAGCACCAGGTGGGTCAGACTTGAGTCCAGCTTCCTACAACTTCTCAAAGAGGTGGACTCCAACTAGATCAGATTCTCCTTCATCAGGCCACAAAATGTTTCTGAAATGCTGACGGCCTGGTCTCCTTTGGTGACTTCTCCCTGTTTTTCATGGAGTTCCAGTCGCTTGCATAATTCTCTCTTCTAGCCCTACTGTGGCCTAAAACCTCCAGCCCTCCAAAGAACATATTCTCCCCAGCTATTTTAGCATCTCTCTGTCCTTCCAAGACACCAAATATCCTGCCAATGCTTAGGCTGTCAGTGAAAACAATGACAATAATAGGATTGTAGCACATTGCTAAATTGATTGCAATGCCTTCATTTCCACGTTGGAAAAGGAAGCTGATTGCACAGAATTTAGTCTCCTTTTTATTAGTACTCAACAGCCCGATGGTATTCACATACAGCTTGCTCCATAACACCGGTGTTGAATGCATGGAAATGTACTTAGCCTACAACAGAACAGACTTGAATTCGAGAATACCCCAATGAAAAAGTAAGTCTGTTTCAGGCAGTACCTTTCACGGAACAAGCCTAAGGTGGGATGAAAGTTGGGTCTACAGAAACAGAATTACCCTGGGATGACCCTGCTTGAGCAGAGTTGGATTACCTCAAAAGCAGAAAAAAATGTCGGCCTTATTAACCATACATGTTAAAATAGCTAGGGAAGCAACCATACATTTATTTCGAAGAGTTTCATGTATAAAATGACATTCGAAAGTCATCAGAAGAAGAAAAATGTTTTTGGACCTTCTAAAACTTATTTTGCAGATCATATTTTGTTGTTGGTATTTCAAACTAATTGTCAGGGAAAGATAAGTGTGACATGCCCATCAATGTCCAGGCCTTTTAAAGTTCTTAATGGGACTCTGCTAATTCACCACATATCCTTTTATAACCCAAATACAATAAAAAACAAAAAATAAAAATAAAGAAAACACTCATTGATTATATATATTAGTTGGTGCAAAAGTAGTTGTGGTTTTTGCCACTACTTTTCTTGGAGAAAACCGTAATTGCTTTTGCATCAACCTAATATTTAAGTACAAAGATTTTCTGACAATATGGCTTTCATTGTCTGTGTCTCTCTCTGTAGATAATTTAGGTGCAAATATAGAAATGTATGAGAAAGCTGGACATACACATCAAATTTGACATTCTTGGGTGATGGGTTACACGGGATTTATGTGTTCCGACTTATGGTTTTTCCATGAAAATGCCAGTTTTCTGTCATGAATGTACATGAACTAGACACCAACGCAAAGCATGGAACAGGCCACAGGGTGCTCCACACTCCCTTTGCCTTCACTACACGAGTATCAAGGTTGCTTAAGTCAGTCCCGAGGCAGGTGCAAGGCTTTGGGAAGAACAGTCATGCTCTGTTCTGTTTCATTCTCTAACACAAACATTCCACCGCTGCTCGTCTCACCCAGCAGCTGTCTGTGCACCAACATTAGAAAAAAAGGTGCTGTTTCTGCCTCTGCCACCACCCCTGCCAACACCTGCCCACCTGACACCTGGATCGGCACCGAGCAGAGGCAGGTCCCGAAGACTCTGCTCCATGGGTCCAAGCTGAGCGCAAATCCTAGCATGTCTCTCGCCAGAACACTGGTTCTTATCATGTCTTCCCCTGGCAATGGGGTGGAGCTTTTTTTTTTCCCCCAGAGGTGTTTTAGTGAGAAGCAGAGGGTTGTCTCAGTGGTGACCGAAAATGGTAGAAAAAACCTCAAATACTAATATAATAGGTTGCCTTCCTTTTAAAGCAGTGAATAGAAATAACTTTGCAATTTTACTTGGAGCTTTTTTATACCTGGTAGTCCAATAACCTAGTTACCTTATTTGCATACATCTGGGAAATCCAATGTCCAAAACGATAGCCCCTGATAATGGAAATCTATTTAAATTTCAATTAGTTAAAATAAAATGAAGTAAATTCAGCTCCTCAGCTGCGCAGCATCACTTTAAGAACTCACAGCCACATGTGGATGGGGGTTCCCATATTAGACGGTGAAGTTAGAGAACACTGCCATCACCACAGAAAATTCTATTGGAGAGAAATGCTCCAGAATAATTTTGACAAAACTTTGTATCCCCAGGCACATTTTAAAGTTGACATTTAAAATTTTCCCTCCTAAGCTGCAAAGGTTGAAATTTTCAGTATATTGTAACTATTGACATTTTAAAATTAAACTGTTATATCCTTCTTTTAAAAGTGTTCACTGGAATCTAAATACCATGGTGATTTGATACCCACCATTATTCACTTTTAAAGAAATATATAGACAACCTCTTCCTTATCAGAGTTAAGTTTTATAGCGGTTTACTTTTTTTAGCTTCCATTTTTATTTTACTTATGCCACAGAATTTTGCTCTAATGTGTTCTATTTTTACGTTCAAATATCTTTTATTGATTACTCTGTCATACTTCTCAGCAGTAAAAATATGCATATAGATTCAAATTTATTTTTTATCTGTGCTTATAGGCTCTAAATGTTCACTCATAAATACAGACAGTATAATGGTGACTGCCAGGGTGTGGGAAATGAGAGAAATGAGGAGACGTGTTTAAGGGGTGAAGAGGTACAAACTTTCAGTTATAAGATGAACAAGTTATGGCCGGGTGCCATGGCTCACACCTGTAATCCCAACAACTTGGGAAGCTAAAGCAGGAAAATCACTGGAGTCCAGGAGTTCAAGACTAGCCTGGGCAACACAGGGAAGCCCTGTCTCTACAAAAAAATCAGAAAATTAGCCAGGTGTGGTAAGGCATGCTTGTAGTCCCAGCTACTTGGGAGGCTGAGACAGGAGGACTGCCTGAGCCTTGGAGATGGAGGTTGCAGTGAGCTGTGATCACACCATTGCACTCCAGCCTGAGAAACAGAGCAAGACCTTGACTCAAAAACAAAACAAAACAAAAGCATGGACAAGTGATGGTTCTGACATTGAGCATGGGGCTGATGGATGGGTAAATCTGATTGTGACAATGATTATACAACATACGCATATATCAAATCATTACATTGTATACCCTGGATAGGTACAATCTGTATTTGTCAACTAAATATTTTAAAATACATAAAGTTCTACATTGAGATTTCCTTTTAATTATATTCAGTATACACATAAGCAAAAAGACAGTAAAATAAACTATATATTTTAAAGAGCAATTACTCAACATAATACAGTGAACCATTTATCAGAAATGAGTGCTATCAGGAATGGGGTTACATAGTCAGGGTGGTGTATATGCTGAAGTAACAACCCCAACTCTTGCTGGCTTAACAAAGATGTATCACTTGCTCAAATTTGATGTTTATAGGGACAGGCAAGAATCCAGGCTGATGGAACCCATCTTAGGACGGATGTTGCCCTCACTACACATTGCTTTGGAATTTCCTGACCAAATGAAGAGACAGCATGAAAGATCACATTCTGGCTCAGAAATGCTTCTACATGGAAGTGACACACATCGTTTGGGCCAAAGCAAGTCATGTGACCACAGCCTACTTCATGTGGTCAGGGAAGGGTCCCATTCCTATGGGTTTCATCTGGACAGAAAAACTAAAGCAGCTTTAGAATATTTCAATTAGAGAGTGTTTAAAATGAGGAATTAGAAACCACTGGCAAGCAAGGGGTAAGGATCAGGGGGCTACAGGCGACTAGATCAGCTCAGTGGGTGATTTCGAGCGTGGGCTCCTAAGCTGCTGGGAACGTGAGCAATCTCTGTGAAGCCACAGGACACAGTGACTTTCTGTCTACCTTCCAAAACCTCATGCCTCTCATTGGCAGACCGTAACCCAGGACCACACGGGAAAAGGGAATCTGGGAAAGTCAGGTGAAGCGTGCTCTTCTGAAATGCAGAAGAGAATGTAAAGGGAGTGTCAATGACTGATAACTGATGTTCTAGTGCTGAGGCATTCTCCCCTAAGGAGACGGGTCCATGGACTGGAGAAGCGTTGCATTTACTCCAAGAGCAAGACAGCATAGCCTCAACTCAATCCCTACATTTCAATGTTATAAATGTTGTCCTGAGAAACACTGAATGGAGTGTACTTTGTCATAGTAATGGCACTCAATTATTGGAACTCCTACGACAAAAACTGTACAGTAATCCGTCATCAAGAGTGATATTTCAAGATCTGACAATATGAACACATTCTCCTCCTACTTTGTTGAATGCAAAGAATCAGAAATTACATGGATGCCAAAGGAGTTGATATCCAGTCATTAGAGTAATCCACTTTCTCAAAGACCATTAGAGTAATCCACTTTCTCAAAGACATCAGCATCCCTAAATGTCTTACAGGGCTGTCAGCCCATAAGGTTTTACAACCCAACACAATCCACCTAGATAAGTGACAAAATGGCTTTATTTATAAAGTAGGTACAAAGGCAAATGTGGAGCTGAGTTCTTTAACTCTAGGTATTTTTCTTAGGCAGATCAATTTTAGGAAAGAGAATACACAGAAGTAGAGAACTCAGAAAACAGATACTCTTGAAACTATTTACATCCATATATCCTTTGAATGGTTTTGCATAGCAACAGGTATACACGTAGCCCAATTTAAGACCTCTGCAATTAGCAAATTTCCTCAGGGGTCTAAAAGGAGACGAGAGGTCTCGTAGATGAACAATCACAGCACAACTCGCCCACACAAATGGGAAGACGCTGGTTATTTTTTCCAGCAGGTACAAAAGCCTGTGAGTCTTACGCACATGTAATATTTTACGTGTGTGAGAGGTTTCATAAGTTATTACCATCTAAGAGCATAAATGGTAAATCTCTATTTTAATTTCATTCCTCTTCATCTAACATAGATGTCATGATGTAACCTAGAATTCTTCTTGCTTCCTGAATCAGAAGTGTTTATTAAAAGTCCTTCTACCTTGGGCTCTATGCTGGAATACAATCCCCTCAAAAAGTCAACTTGATAGAATCTTTAATATTAAGCCTGCCTTAATATACTTCAATTTCTTTACAATATTTATCGATGTAAAAATCACAAGCATACCCTTGCTTTCTGTCGTGTGAATCTAATCTAAATCCAACCATCCAAGGAACATGTTCATGGAGAAAACCCCCTGGGAAAACAGGATAGCATGCACGTGGAATACAGCTGCTGGCCTCCAGTGAAAAGAGTACTGTTCAGGGTAAGGAGGGTTTGGATGGAAAACCAACAGCTGTTGAGGCCAGAACAATGTATGAATGTTAAAGGAAGCATATTTTAATTCAATGTGAAAAGTGTAACGCTGACAGCTCTATGGGCAACCACATAAAGTGTGTGGCAATATGTAGATTTCTAGGAGTGGGCTCAACTCTTCATAGGTGGGCACCAAGCAAGACATCCAGGGGTCTTAATGTACATCTTCTTTGAAAACACTTAACATTCAACATGCATCTTCTTTGTGTCTGACACTTGTTTTTTGTTGTAGTTTTTTTGCTTTTGTTTTCTTTTTTTTTTTTTTTTTCAGACAGGGTCTCACTCTGTCACCCAGGCTGGAGTGCAGTGGCACGATCTCGGCTCACCACAACCTCCACTTCCCAGGCTCAAGCGCTCCTGCCTCAGCCTCCCGAGTAGCTGGGATCACAGGTGTGCACCACTACCACCCAGCTAATTTTTTTGTATTTTTATTAAAGACAGGGTTTCACCATGTTGGCCATGCTGGTCTTGAACTCCTGACCTCAAATGATCCACCCGCCTCAGCCTCCCAAAGTGCTAGGATTACAGGCATGAGCCACTGCGCCCGGCCAGCACTTGTTAATTGCTAGAGATATACAAGAAGACAAACTAGTCCTGGTTCATACTCTCAAAGAGCTTAACACCCAGGTAGGAATAAATTAGGCAGGTGAAGGTAGCTTATGCTGTGGTAACAAATACCACCTATAAAACAAACAACAAAAGTTTATCTCCCATTCAGGTACTTGCTCACCAAGGGTGGGTGACAACCTTCTTCAGGGAGAGTCAAGAGTGGCTCTGCCACCGGGAATGCTGCCAGACACCTCCATTGGAGAAGATGAAACTTTCATGTTAGTTCTACTTGTGTCTCCCTGTAAGCCACGCGTCACTTTCACATTTATTTTTCCTTCCTTAGAGAAAATTATATGAGAATTTCTAGCTTCACAGTGATGGAGAAGTATGAACTACTTCTCTGCCCAGTAGATATTAGTGAATGGTGGCAACAGACTGCAGGGAGACAGGCATTAAACAGATAATTACTGGATGACAGATAATGGAGAGTGCAATGAAGGAAGGAAGGAAAAGTTAAAGGTGCCATGAGAAAGAAAATTGGGGACTTAATTTGGTTTGCGAGATTCAGGGAATGCCTCTCTGAGAGATGATACTTAAGGTGGAACGTAAAAACATGTCTGTAAGAGTCTATGACCTTATCATCCTGAGTCTAACCAGACTAACTATCCCTAACTTGGGATAAACAGTCTGAACCACTCATCCAACCAATATGAGAGCTATGCATAGATCCTTCAAATGCCTTGCATGGGAGCCTAGGTTTTGAATCCTCCCTGACAGCAAGCACTGCTTTTCACTTGGCAACAGAGACCAATGTATGTTCTCCAGAACTAATTTCATTCATGGAACGCTAGGCATGGAATCTCAGCTGTTCTTCATAGCAGAGGGCTCAGAGTTTCTTCATGTCACACTAATAGTTTCACTGATTGAAAATCCACAGCAGACAAGAATTGGGACTCCCCGAGATAGTGCTGGAGTTAGAATAATTTATGGAGAGCAGTCTAGCACAACATAAGCTATTTAAAGCTGCATAATATACCCACAAACTCTTATTAAGGGCTGAGGTTTTCAACCCTATGAGACAGAAACCAGTTATCATTATGCATCACCATGAAAGAAGATTAAAATTAAATCAATTTGTTTATCTCTGGGTTCTCTGCCCAATTAACATTTCAGAAAGGGAAACATTCTGTCCAGATAAGAAATCAGCCCTCATCCAAATTGAGATATTAAGAATATAAATCTCAGGAGGTTTTCAGAAATAAATTTAATTATCAAAAGGGCAGAAGACCAGTTAAGGCTCAGCTTATGAATTGTTGCTGCTGTGAGTTAGAGTCAGACTCTTTGGACAGTATCCGTTTGAACTGAAGGAAGGTGAAAAGTTTCTGTGCAAATTAATTCAGAGCGTTTAAGTGGACTTACCTCCAGAAATAGAAATGCCACTTTATTTTAATGACTGTTGTATTTTCTAAAAACCTTCTTGAGGAACATTTTACAGTGAAACACTGAAATTTTGTATAGAATATACTATGTATTGATTAATTAATTCATAAAATTCATGAAGGACTTGGGCTTCAGCTAAACAAGGATTTTTCCAAAATCCCAGGTATTTGAGTGTGGATAATCCATCTCAGTGGATTTTCATCATTTCACCAGATCCAGGTCATATCTGGGTTCATGTGTTTGAAAAGTGGCAATGTATTTGCAGATTATTCCATAGTAGATTGTAATGGATTTGAGGCACACTCTACTCTTAGTGAAGACCAGAGTGTTGCTGCAGACCAAGTTACCCAGCTCGAACGCCATTCCCTACTAGCAAGCATTTTTCCTTCACATCAGGTTATTAAACAGATCATTTTACAGGTAGATAACCTGTCAACAGAGAACAGATTCAATCAGGGAGGTTGTGAACAAGCCCTGAGTCACTGCATGGATTCTGGAACCTCATAGAAGGGTATAAATATCTGTACTCTTACAGAAGGAAGACCCAGACTCAAGATCTAGAGATCTGGCATTTACCAGCTCTTTCTCCTTGGATCATAATGTCTCTGAACCTCAATTTTCTAATACGGGAAATGGTAAGAACTTGCTTAGCCCAAACAACAGGATCAACTAAGACTGTGTGTGCAAGAACTTAACCACTGTTCTCCCTGCCACTCCCCAAATCACCCATGCCCTCTATGCATGTTAAAGGGCCCTTGCTCATGCTATTCCTGGGTGTAGAATATCCTCCCAACCTTCGTTCCACCTGGAGAAACCCCGTGCTTCCTTTAAGACCCGGTTTACAGAAAGTCCTCTTGGGAAGACTTCTCTGATTTAATCTGCTTTGACCAAATCAGATAAGCATCCCCTGTACTCCAGTAGAACTCTGTAGATAATTCTATTACGGCACCTACCATCTTGTGCTGTAATTGATATAAGCAAGGCCTAATTTATCACAGGAAACAGCAAGCGCCTTTATCTGTATACTTTTCATCAAGATAGCCCTGGCCTTGTGTGTACTACGTGATCAACAAGTATGCTGATAAAATCATCACATTTGCATTTAATTTTTTTTGAGGCCAGGGGTGCTTTGGTCTATTCCAAACATACATCTGGAATGCTAAAAGTAGGCAGTAGAGAATAACTGCAAGATAAAACTCTCCAAAGTAATGTTTAAACATATTATTCCGTCTTCTCTTGTCCATTTTCATAAAACCTTCAAGATCTTGTTCAAGGGACACAGTGACATAAATTTCTGCTGTTTTAGAAGGCATACAGCTTTAGTTTGTTCTTTTATGTATTTTTGATCCTCAGTGCTCTTAGTTTTGGGTATGTGTGCACCTGTGCATAGCTGAGGATATAGATGGATATCTTTTCCCAGCCCTCTTTCTTTGATCTCCTTCTTAATCTTTCTAAGAGGGGAGAGTGGGAAGACATGCTTAGACACACGGAGTTGGCAATGTAATCAGGCACTGTGGTCAACCTACGAGGGAGGTGACAAGAGAGATGTGTCTGTTTCTGGTAGATATTTCATTCTGAAAAATCTGAAGTGCATAAAGGCTCCCTCCATATTAAACATCAAAGGTCAAATAAAGTTGTCCTTTTAGGATAGATTCAGGACCCTGAGGGAAGGACAGCCTGGCTGGAAGAAGATCTGGGATTGTGGGGAAGACAAGAGGGAGGGTCAACCCACAGACATTCAACCCACAGACAGACATTCAACCCACAGAGAACACCCATCTGAGATGGAATCTTGTACCCAGTAATAATATTTAAAAAATACTGAACAATCAATACATTAAGAGACCAATCAGGATGGCCATGAATGCTGACATGGCGGTACTGCATTGTGCCAGATAAATGTTAGCCTTGGGACAGCGTTTGGGGATAAAGGAAATGATACAAAAGACAGAATCAAACTCCTGGCTGATAGGAAGCAGCTTCTATTTCTGAAGATGGGCAACAGCTACTTTTAAACATTGAAAATATTTCAGGTATAACTAAGACGTTTCAGGGTATTTTCATTAATTAGTCCCAAAGTATCAGGCACATGGCAGTTGTAGTGAGCACCTAGCTGACCTGCCTAGGTAATCACTAAATCTTACATAGATGAGAGAACTGATACTCAAAGCTGATGACATGCCTAAAGTCCAGGTGCTAATTAAGGGCAGCTCTGGTCTTAGAATCTAAGTCTCCTTGACTTGTCAAGTCTATTAAAACAAAACCAGGGATTTTTCTGATATGTCATGTGGCATAGTTCCTGCAAAACACATGGCAGAAAGTTTCTGCATGTTCATAAGATCTGACAGAATTAACAGACTAAAAGGAACATGATATGACAACCTGGTGCCTTCTGGCAAGGAAATCACTGAATCATCTGGGACAAGGTCATGTTTTCCCTCCTCTTTAAGCACTTTGCGGAGGAAGAAGCCCACAGTCTCCTTGGACAGTTATCTTGAGCGTCTGCTATTTTTGCCACTCAACTTTCTTTTACCCTTCTTTCGTTAAAGCAATTCACTTGTATTTCTCCAGTGAACACGTCCCTCGGCCACTCTCAAGCCATGTGGATTGGCTGGAAATGACCCTACTCTTAATTACAAGTATGTTCTCAATGGCTTAAGTCAGGGATTCTCAATGAAATATCTGTGAAGTCCTGAGGGAACCCCAAGATATTTTCAAGGGTTCTGCAAAGTCAAAACTATTTTCACAGTGAAACCAAGATGTTTTTCACATTTGTCACTGTGCTTCCATTTGTACTGATGGTGCAAAGGCAATGATGGGTATTGTTGTCAGGCTGGCATGACCATGGAAGGTAGCGAAACCCAACTGTGCTAGGAATTGGTGTACTGTTGGAGTAGGCAGATGACTAGGTATGAGAAAAGTGGGGAGCCCCTGAGAAAGGAAGGAGGAGAAATACCTATGCAGGAAGAAATGCCCCCAAATGTCCCTTAAGATGCCTAATTACTCACTCTGTGGTTAAACTGTCAGAATGTGGCTAGCCACATGCTGATGAGAAGAAAAATGGGTGAACGGGAAATTCCTAAGAGACACACAAGTGCAGAAAGTACAGATTTCCCTGCTCTATGCCCTTCCTGGGGTGGCAGCAAGGAGCAACACTGCCATCAGATGAGATTCATATTGATCACCAGCCCCACACAGGTGCATCAGCTGACAGTAAAGAAGAATCCCACAAACCTGGTTGGGAACTAGGTGGGACAAAGATGGAAACCTCACACAGAAGCAGGAAACTAGACCTAGACAAAAGCAGGGACTTGAGATAGAGGCAGGGACTTAAAGAAAGAGTTTGACCCAATAAAAACCACAGGAAAGAACTCTAAGGGCTGCTGTCATGTTGATATCTTATTGCTACAAAGAGTCTGTTGGTCAGTCCTAAGGTGTTGTAAAATTAATGCTCATCAGGTGTGCCTGAATTCCAAAGGGAGGAGGGTATCATGAGGCAGGTGCAAGCCCCTCTTTCCATTATGCCCTGAACTAGTTTTTCAGGCTAACTTTAGAAAGCCCTTGGCTGAGAGGAGGGGGTCATTCAATGGGTTGGGTGGCTGAGAATTTTATTTTTGGTTTCCAGCAGCCCATTCTGCCTGGTCTTTCAGAGCGAACTGTCTCTTTTAAGCAAACTCTGTTACTACTTAACCCTCGCTGCTACTGCAGCTCCCAGCTGGGTCAGCCCGCTCCTTTCTTGGAGAGGAATCTTATTTCCTTAATAAACCTTTTGCTTGGTTTACTGATTGGTCTCTTGGTCGAATTCTTTCTCCTAAGAAGACTGAGAACCAAGGACCCACACTTCCCAGTGATAGTGTTAGTCACGGAAGCACACTCACAATGTGAGAAGTGCCAGTTTCACTTAGGGATGTCCTTGAAGATGCAGTAAACATTATTACTTTTATTAAATATTTGTCCTCAAATGCACGTCTTTTTACTGGTCTGTGACAAAATGCGTATAGCACTATACCGCACACTGAATTCCTATGGCTGTCTTGAAGAAAAGCACTTAGGTGATTGAGCTGTAAGCTAAGTTTGAGTTTTTCAGGGAACACCATTTTCACTGAAAAGAATGACTAAGAAATTATGGTTATTTTGATTAAGTATTTGACAAAGATTTTCTGAAAAATGAACAAAGTGAGCTAGTGATGTCAAAAAATAATAAACAAATAAACTGGCAATATTTGTTACCAATGATCAAATTACAGGTTGAAGGCAGAAATCAGAATTTTGGAAAACTGGTATCTGCTACTGTGATTTCGAAAGCATCTCAACATTGCAAACCAAAAGTAAAATTCTAAGCCATCTAACCAACTGAATGAACCCCCTCCTCTTAGCCAAGGTCCTTCTGAAGTTAACCTGAAAAACTAGTTCAGGCCATTATAAAAAGAGGGGGGTCAGACGTGCCTCATTATACTCTCCTCTCTTTGGATTTCAGGCAGAAATGACCAGCATTAATATTAAAATAGAGACTGTAAGACTGACAAAACAGACTCTTTGTAGCAATAAGATATCAATGTGATAGCAGACTTTGAAAGAAATCAAAGTATTTTACCCACTAATATATTTCTTGACATATTTTGAAATGGCCCTGCAAAGCTGTCTCTGGTGGGGAAAATCTACATTCTGTAGAGAATCCCCTTCCCTTTCCAGGTCTTTTCCTGATTGAGGAGAGAATTAACTAAGAGCCTGGCACCATTTTATGTCTGATAAAAAACATTTATAATCTATTTACCTAAGCCTCTAGGATTCATCTGTCTAGTAAGAACCTTGATTTCCACAACCCCTTATCTTAACTCACACATTCCTGTCTATGGAGTCCAGGTCTTTAAATAATAACTCTTTCAACAAATTGCCAGTCAGAAAATCTTTGAATCTGCCTATGACTTGGAAACTCCTGCTTCAAGTTGTTCCGCCTTTCCAGACCTAACCAATGTACATCTTACGTGTATTGACTGACGTCATGTCTCCCTAAAACGTATAAAACCAGCTTGTAGCTGGACTACCTTGTTGACCAGTTCTCAAGACGTCCTGGGGCTATGTAACAGGTCATGGTCCTCATATCTAGCTCAGAATAAATCTCTTCAAATATTTTACAGTATTTGACTCTTTGTCAACAATACTTGCAAGCTTTCCTGATGACATTGGTGCTGATATTTAAAAGAAAATGTGATTTTTTGATATTGTAAAATGAAATGGGTCAACATTTGGAAGTGCAACATCACTAGTGAATCAATATTTTCCAAATTACCAATTCATGATATTATACAATCACGTGTAGATACAAGAACCATTCAAAATGCAAGATAGACCAGAAGTTCATTGATAGGATTTTAGAATCCACATTGCAACTAACTATAAGAAGCCACCACGTGACAAGTTTTAGTGTAGTATTAAAAAAGTATATATGCAATAATCTGAAAAAGCTATTAAAATATTCTCTTTTCCAACTACATATATATATGAGGCTGAATAGTCTAACTATACTTCAATAAAAACATTATTGCTACAGAGTGGATGCAAAAGCAGATATGAGAATTTAGCTGGTATCTGCTAAGTCAGACATTAAAGACATTTACGAAATTGTAAACAGTACCACCTTTCACAGTGATTTTCTTTTGGGGGGGATATAATTGTTTTTCATAAAATTACATCATTTATGTTACCATTTAATGGCTTTACAATTGCTTTTTAAAATAAATGTATAAATATATATTTTTTAATTTTCTCAGTTTTTGTTTATAATATGGTGCACATCTATAGGTATAACCTACATAAACAAATGACTTTGCAGAATCTCCAATAGTTCTGAACAGAATAAAAGGAGCCAGGGACCAAAAAGATTGAGAACCACCAGTTTAAGCCAATCAGCATATCTCCCATATGTCTTGATGTCTGACCACCATAGGTGGTTTAGGGATGGATTGCCATCTGAGTAGTGAGCAGTTCAGGAGGGGTTCTGGGCATTTTAAAAAGGAAAAGAGTTTTCATTTCTCTCCCATTCTGTTCACTCTGGCATGAGGTGTCTATTACAGGAGCTCTAAGTGGGGAGATGGAAACTGCTTGGGTGGCAGGAACAGTCTGAGGATACAGCAGCTTCCTGCAAAGGCAGAGTTCCTGCAGGTGTGCTGCTGCAGTGTGGAGTCCAGTCTCCTTAAAGCCACCTCACATTTGGAATTTTCAGTTTCCTAAGGCAGGCATTCCCTTGGCTAGTAAGTCCACTTGAGCAAGTTTTGTCACTTGCTACCAGGCAACTTACACGACAACCTGGAGGAGATCCTGTCACCCCCTGGTCCATAATCCAACGCACTGACAAACGCAATTCCCTGTGAGTGGAACTAGAGGAGAGTTTCATTTCTTGGGAGCAGACATACCCCAGAGTACTAAGAAACCATTGTTTTATGACACAATTTTCTGTCTGACTGTCTCTTGGGAATTATCTTTTATTATATCAACAGCATTATATGTGAATGCATCTGTTGCTTTCAAAAAATCTCAAATCGAACTATTCTCTTCTGTAAGCAGTCCCACTTGCAAATCTGTGGAGAGGCAGTTCATTTCTTAAGAAGAGTGTTTCTGAAACAAAGTGTTTAAAGTCCTTGAAACATATTAAGCAACACAAACTTCTTATGTTTGGTTCATTATTCTATATTTCATGTTATCTTATTGGTATCTCCAATTCATTATATTTAATGGTATGTTTGAAGATAACTTGAATTTGCTTGGTTTTGTTGTTTGGTTGGTTCAGCATAAAGGAAAACCACATTCAACCATAGATTTCTACAGTAACTGGAATCACAGGTCAGGAAGCTAAGATGTCAGTATAAATAGGGGCACAATCTCCACTCTTAAAGCAGTGACTCTCAAACCCTGGCATCCATAAGAGTCACCTGGGAGGGATTAAATCACAGAAGGTTGGGCCCCATACCTGAGGTTTCTGAGTTAGCAGGTTTGGGGTGAGACAGGAGAATTTGTACATCTAACAAATGCTGCTGGTCCTGGGTCCACACTTCGAGAGCCACTACCCTGGAATATCTTAGTGTGAGATAACATGGTTAGCTGCTGACTACTAAAGCTGCTGACAGCTACATTTGGAAAGATTTACAGTAGGTAACGGGAAGAACAGGCATCCTAACCTAATAACCTGATCAATGAGATCTCAAATGGGTTTACACAATGCTAAAGATCTTCTGACTTAATAGATCAATGTCTCTGCACTACAAGTGCAAAGATGCTCAGGGCAACCAGTAGCTGGAATCAAATTGAAGGTAAACTTGGATATCTGGGGAGAGTTTTATTGCACAGGTACAAAAAAAATGGACAAGAGTTTTCAGGTTGACATTACAGTGCTACTCCTGCCACCAGGCTTAGCAAGTATGTAAGTGCCACCATCTCCTTGGATTTGATCTGTAATATAAATATTCATTGAGATCCTATCACATGCTAGACTCAGTATGAAGTACATGGTATAGAGAGGCAAAGGCAAATAAAGGCATTTCTCCTTGGTATTAAGACATTTTAGGATTCAAAGGGGTAAACACAATTTTATTAAAATTTTCACAACGTAATTTGCAAAAGATGTAAGCACAAAATACAAGTACTGCTCAAGGTTACACAGCGTGCCGATTTATGTAACACCCTCAACGCTGACCCTGCAGGCTTTATGAAATGACTCCACTGAAGTGCCAGCCTAATTCTACCCAGCTCTACTGTGAGATGACTGGCTGCTGAGAACTGAAATCTGCAAACAAAAGTTAAATTATCACCCACTGGCTGCTACCGTATAAAAAGGAGGAAAGTTTTAATTTTTCTACTGGGGGTTTGGTGGTGGGTGGATGGAAACTGAACGTTTTTAGTTGAAATGGACGTATCCTACTTCAACTCTAAGTCCCTGCAGAACAGTGGGTGTGTGATTTTTGCTGAATGGCAAATAAAGCCAGCTGTTTCTTCAATTCTACGGGAAGAGACTCAAAGAAGCCGAGTGATGGAACCAATTTTTGGTAGTTTTCTGTTGGCTGATTAAATCAACCAGAAGTGCCATAGTGAGTTTAATGGTACGATACAAGAGTCTGGAGCACATGTCAGCAGACCAGTGAAGATGCTTGTGGCTTGAAGTAACAGAAGACGATCTAGAAGTTGCTTAAATAAATAATGGGTTTATCCTCTTACAAACCATAGAATCCATAGGAGGAGCAGTATCACGGTTGGTCAATTCCATAGCTCAATAAGGCTCTACTCTCAGGTTCTCCTCCTGGTCCCAAGATGTCCACTGTAGTTCCAAGCATCTCATGGTGCCACAAGGACATCTACCTTCATGTAGTTTCATTCAAATAGATAGCCTGAGACAAGGATTCGCGTGCAGAAAGCTTTTTTAAGAGGTGAATCCAAGAATCACTGGGAAAGATGAGGAGTAAGACCTAAAAGGAACCACAGGTTCGTGACCAAGAAAATTGCCTCAATGGGTCACTGGAGGTTAATCCCACTGGGACCTCTGGGAGCAGGTGTGAAACACACACCTCAGAGCTACCCTAGGGCAAATGTAACTGCCACAGGCATCTGATCGGGGCTGCTGTTAGGGGTGATAATTCCAGTGCAATTCTGGGTCCTGGACTGGTGGTTAAAGACTGCACCCAGATTAAAATGAAGAGGTGGTTGATTCTGGTAGGATTCCATCTCTGCTGTTATTGGTGGTTGTTATTCGTATTTATTTCTGAAATATTCAATTATTGTTGTTACTGGTGGCTGTAGCATTCATATTATGAAATAAGAAAACATCCCCAGAAGTTGCTCAGGTCACATGAAACTGGACCAATCACTGACATGAACGAGGAGATCCCTGAGACGGGCTTAGTAAACAATGACTCGTCTGCTGTGGCTGGGAGATCATGTTCCCCCAGCACATAGCCAGGGACAGGACGAATGCAGAAGCCAAGGGTGGCTGTGAAGTCACCAAGGAAGGGGGAGGGGCTGATGGGTCAGAAATCAATCATGTTTGCTGTAATTAGACTACGTTAGAGATAATTCTATGCCATCTGAATGTAGCCATACGTTAGAGGTAATTCTATTCCATTTGAATGTAGCCAAAGGGAAGTTGTCCTCTTTCCCGTCCCTGGATGGACACTGTTGAACAGGAATTTAATCCCATTCTTACCGCAGGGTGACCACAAAACCTCTATGAATGCTAGGAGTTATTTGCAGGCTACTCTTTATTGTCTAAGTGTTAGTTTGAAATTTAAGGCCGGGCGTGGTGGTTCACGCCTATAATCCCAGCACTTTGGGAGGCCGAGGCAAGTGGATCATGAGGTCAGTAGTTCAAGACCAGCCTGGCCAACATGGTGAAACCCTGTCTCTATGGAAAATACAAAAATACAAAAATTAGCTAGCCGTGGTGGCGCACGTCTACAGTCCCAGCTACTCCGGAGGCTGAGGTGGGAGAATGGCTTGAACCCAGGAGGCAGAGCTTGCAGTGAGCTGAGACCACTGCCAATGCACTCCAGCCTGGGTAACAGAATGAGACTCCATCTCAAAAAAAATAATAATAATAAAAAAGAAATTTAAAATGCACCTGAAGACGGAGGGAGAGGAGACACAAACAGCAGAAGTGGCTTGCATGTGCACCGTGGGCTCATTTCGAAAAAGGGGCACTGCCAAAGTGTGTCTTTCTGAATTTAGGAAGCAGCCAATTAGAAGTAAATTGACCCCATTTTTGATCTGCTATTCCCAATGCAAAGGGAAGAAAGTACACACTAACTTAGAGAAAGAAAATATTTAGGGATTTTTTTTAAAGACCATTGTGAATAAGGAAAAGTTTTTTTTTAAAAAAAGCAAAAGCTCCTTCCTGATTATGGGTTTTAGACAGCACAATCCCAGAGGGTAAATGCTTGCTAGTGGGAAATGAGGATAAAGCTCAGTTGCTACACGCACCATGAAAAGCAGCAAGGTGTCCCTGCCATGCATGCTAACGGGCTATCAAGAGGTGACCTCATCCGCAGGTACTCACCCTGCAGGAACTCAGGATGACAGACTCCCCTCTACAGGAAACTTCACTGCCTGTGGGTGACAACGGGCCTCACTGCCCCTTCCCGACAGCGCACAGTGGAATCCACGCTGACTCAGACACAGGGCACAGTCACATTTTAGGTGAACTAGAGTCACGTAGATTTGAGAGAAGGCAAAGTAACAAACGTGAGTGAAGCTTCATGCTGTGCACAGTGTCTGGAATAAGGTCGTGCTGCCTTGACGCCGCCTGTTGAATTGTGTGGAGCTGGCGGGCAGAGGGAGGCCTGCCCTGGACGGTGCCCGGTGTCCCACACAGGGTCTAAGGCGGGAAGTGGGAGATGGGATCTGGGAGGCAGGCAGGCCTGCACCCAGGGCAGAGGGTCTGTTTCTTTCTTTCTTTCTTTCTTTCTTTTTTTGTTGAGACGGAGTTTCACTCTTGTTGCCCAGGCTGGAGTGCAGTGGCACAATCTTGGCTCACTGCAACCTCCGCCTCCTGGGTTCAAGCAATTCTCGTGCCTCAGCCTCCTGAGTAGCTGGGATTACTAGGCATGCGGCATCACACCCAGCTAATTTTGTATTTCTAGTAGAGATGGGGTTTCTCCATGTTGGTCAGGCTGGTCTTGAACTCCTGACCTCAGATGATCTGCCCGCCTCGGCTTCCCAAAGTGCTGGGATTACAAGTGTGAGCCAGCGCGCCCGGCCCAGAGGGTCTGTTTGTAAACTGGGGGTGCACTAACCCCAGTACCTCTGCTTGGAAATAATTACTCCTTAGATTCTTTTCCTTGGATTCTGAGGAAAGCCAATTTCGTGGCTTTCAAGTAATTTCTTTCTAAAATCAGTCTGATGAAAATTAAATTAATTTTGTAAATGTTTCTTAGAATGCGACTTCTATACTTCATTGAGAACTGTTGTTTCAGTGAATGGATGCAATGTAGGTAACGAAGGGTTAGATAGACACATTGAAAAGATGTTACTTGGAATATTACTCATATGCTATACAAATAAAAACAATAAATAAATCCATCTGGTGGGCTCAGGAGAGCAAAGCAGCTCTGTGTCGTGGTGCTAGGTGACTGCACAGCCAGGGGCAGCCATGGAGACCCTGCGCCTACACAAAGACATCTCTCCCAGGGGCTCATCGGCCAGCTGTGGACTCACTACTGTGAGGATGGTTGTGGGCCGGGCTGGGGATGAGGAATGAGCAGAGGGCGCTGGAGAGGAAGCCCACAGGGGACCACTCCAGGGAGAGCTGAGATGAAAGCTCCTGCTTTTCAGAGGCCTGAGGAGCCAGACCTGAGAGAAGAGGGAGGCTTGATGCATCCATTGCCCAGACAGCATTCATCCGTGCTTATCATTTCATCTTAGCAGCTTCAGCTTGTGGAGCATCCACCATGCATCTCACTCAGGGTGACCGAGGGAGGTCATGGGACTCACGTGAGCTCACCCAGTTAGTAAGTGGGAGAGGTAGAATTTGCCCTTAGATCATTAGATCTCTCTGAAACAAATTCTAGAGTCCAAATTCTCCAATGAGTTTTTAAAATACAATTGTGGATCATGGTAATTTGGATGTGTGACTGTGTGTAGATTTTCTTTGTTCAAATATTCATAGTGACTTTATTTAGCATAGCCTCAAACTAGAAAAAGCCCACGTGTCCACCAAGAAGAAAATGCATAAACGTTGATGGCAAGGGCAGGCACTGAATAGTTCCACAGCAGGGAAAGATAACAGTGTCTTCCACATGCAACTACATGGATGAGTCTCAGGATATTCCGTGTGAAAGAAGTGTTACACAGAAGCGTGGATATTGTATCCTTCCATTTATAAAAAACTCTAGAAAAGGCAAATCTACTCTAGGATGGAAAAAAAAAGAGCAATAATTTCCTCTGGTTACCTAAGGATGGGAACTGATGAAGGAGATGCATAGAGGAACTCTATGGGGCCCGGGTGATGATCTTTGTCTCAATCAGAGCTTGCATGTGTTGGAACTCATCAATTGGTACATTTAAGATGTCTGCATTTCATTGTGTGTAACGTTTACAATAAGAGGAACAAACATTAAACTCGAATTAGTGAGAGGCATGCTGAGATAGTTGGGTAGAGTATATTTATGCTTGCATCTTACTTTGAAATACATCAAAAGTAAGATGGATTAATAGATGCAAGAAGGATGAACAGATTGATAGATATGTGATAAAGCAGACATGGTTTAAATGTTAATTATAGAATCTAGGTGATGGGTATATGGGTGTTAAGTGTAAAATCTGATAAACATGACTGCACGTCTAAAACATTTTGTAATAAACTATTGGGGGATATATACATGCTGGGTTTCCTCTATTCTGAATCAGAATCTTTGGGAATATTAAAACCCTAAAAGTCAAAAAACAATTAGAGAGCAAAGGCATCCTATGCACTAGAATTTGAATTTCTATTTTGACTAGGGGCGAAATGATGCTACATTAGCCAGAGCAGCGATTGTGTGCAGAGCAAAATGCATTTCACGTTTTCGTGTTTATTGAGTTGTTGAACAATGGTTAGGAGCACAGGGGTGAGATGTTATGAATGCCCTTCTGAGTGGAGAGAAAGCTGAAACTCAGAGAAGAAAGGTGAGGTATCCAGGCTCACATAAGCCGTCAGCATCCACAGCGAGATGAAAACCCGAGAATATAGCTCAGGGCTTTTTCACAATATCACGGTGGGTCCCACACATGAACAACTGGGAAATCTAAGGTTTGCTGCGCCCCTCAGTGTTCTCAGATATCAAATGACAGGTGATGCAATACAAAATAAAGTCAATGAGAAAGACCTCCAACTAAGGAAGCAGCCAGGTCAAAATGATGGAAGTTCAGAAGCAGCCGGATTGCCAGGGAAAAGGAGATGCAGATGCCCGAAACTCCACCAAACACTCTTCCTGCTTGCAGAGACGCAGCCAGAGCAACAATGCAGTCAACGCTCCTAAGGAAGGCAGCTCACTCTCTCATCGGATCTGCTTGGCGCTACATATGGAGTCTAAGAAGACCCTCTTACCACCTGGAACACATGAAGATGCTTTGCAGAAGGATAGTGGAATGTAGGCCCTCAATCCCCTAGACCCTTTCTTATGATTTTCCGAGCGTTCTCTTTTCTCTAGCTTACTTGATTCTAAGAATACAGTATCTAATACATATAACATACAAAATATGTTAACTGGCTGTTTTTGTTACTGGTGAGGCTACCCATCAACAGTAGGCTATTAGTAATTAAGTTTTGGAGGAGTCAAAAGTCATTCCGCCGGTCCTGCTCAGCTTGGCTGATGGCACCTGCGTTATTATGGCTCCCCAGCGGCTGTCTGCTGAAATAATTTATTGCCACTCGCTTGCATGCTGGTGTTAGACATCTCTCACTAAATAATGTGAAGATATCCTTGACTGCAATGGTCAAACCTGAAGTGATTACCGGGGCCGGTTGGTAAGGTAAACAAACCGGGTATCAAAGAGAAGGCAGTGAGCGCTGCGTCCATGTGCCAGACTGAGAAGTCCTGCCTTGCTAAAATCCGTAAATGCCAGAAAGCTCAGACCAATTGCTACCAAGGAGAAACGCGGGCCTAGTGGTCAGATTGGACTTTTTAATGAAAGACAAAAATTCCGTTTTTCTGGAATGAATTTTTTCTGGAATGAAACCTGTAGATTTGTGGATGGTTAATTCAATTATGTCTGCAGATAGATACATTTTTTTTTTTTTTTTTTTTTTTTTTTTTTTTTTTTGAGACGGAGTCTCGCTCTGTCGCCCAGGCTGGAGTGCAGTGGCGGGATCTCGGCTCACTGCAAGCTCCGCCTCCCGGGTTCACGCCATTCTCCTGCCTCAGCCTCCTGAGTAGCTGGGACTACAGGCGCCCGCCACTACGCCCGGCTAATTTTTTGTATTTTTAGTAGAGACGGGGTTTCACCGTTTTTTAGCCGGGATGGTCTCGATCTCCTGACCTCGTGATCCACCCGCCTCGGCCTCCCAAAGTGCTGGGATTACAGGCGTGAGCCACCGCGCCCGGCCCAGATAGATACATTTTAAGTATTTTCCAGGCCAGTCCTCACATGTGGGAGCCAATTTCGGCCCATGCGTCTTTGCATGCAAGCTCCGCTTTCTCTTTGCATACCCTCTACCTACACTGACCATCTCCGCGATAATGCTGCCCGAAAAATTAACTCCAAATGGTGTGGGTTGAAACTGTAGCAATTTCTTCTTAAGTGTTGCTTGGGTTTTTCTTACTATAACGTTTTACAATTAATAATTATCTGGATTTGTAATTAAAATAGATTCACAGAATGAGCTCCATGAAAATGGTGACTGTATCAGGGTTCTCCAGAGAAACAGAACAACAGAATATATATATGTATATATTTGTATATGTGTGTCTATAAGTATGTGTATAGGTGTGTATAAACATATATGCATACATATGTGTACATATATCTGTTTACATAAATATATACACATATATGTGTACATATATCTGTTTACATAAATATATACACATATATATGTGTAGGTGTAGCTACACAAATATGTGGAATACATATTATACACACACACACACACATATATATGCAGTTGACTTGAAACAGCTCAGAGGTTAGGGGTGCCAACCCAAACTCCCCACATTCAAAAATCTGTGAATAACTTCTGACTCCTCCAAAACTTAATTACTAATAGCCTACTGTTGATGGGTAGCCTCACCAGTAACAAAAACAGCCAATTAACATATTTTGTATGTTATATGTATTAGATACTGTATTCTTAGAATCAAGTAGGCTAGAGAAAAGAGAACGCTCGGAAAATCATAAGAAAGAGAAAACACATTTCCAGCACTTTGCAGTATTTATCGATACTGTACGTTTGTGTCGTTTGTTTACAAGATGAATTGTCTGTCTGAAATAGTGGCAACCATGGCTGCAGACCTCAGTCTACAGCACATCCCAAGCAGTTCACCTTTCTCTTGCAATGTCATAACTTTTCTCTGCTTCTTGGAAGCACTTCCAGCATCACTAGTGGCACTCTGTATGGGCCCCATGGTGTCACCGAAGGTTTACAGTATTGCACTAAACACAACGAAAAATACTTGAGAACCACTAGAGATCACTTTTTATTGTGATATGCAATTTACTGGAGATGAACTGCCCATGCCAAGATGGCTAGCAGCACACAGGGATTTAAGCAGATACTCACAACTCTCAGGCTTGCCAAAACAGCAGCAGGAGGCACCCACAAAATTACTACAGTAGTGCAGTGTATGCTGCAGTTAACTTTATGCAGTTGTGATATGTATTTCTATGTATATCCTCTTGGTTCTGTTTTTCTAGAGAACCTTGAAATACATACAATTATATATATATAATTATATAAATATATATCTATATTTATATAAATAAAATAGAAATATTCAACACTGCATCTTTACATTTGTTTACATTTCTTTTGACTATAAATGACACTGTGAAGGTCTGCCAGTGTATGCAAAAGTTTTGATAAATGTTGACTTTTTATATTAGATTTGTATAATTTTGTGGCAGTAAATACTGAAAAGAGACTAGTATCTGCATATATTATTTGCATTCATGACATACCTAACGTTCAGTTTTTGATATTTGCAGGCCACAAGGTTCATGCGCAACTTTTTTCAATTTGTCTCAAATGTTCAAAAAATTTCCACTATGTTTATTTTTAAAAATCTGCATGAGTGTACCCATGAAGTTTCAAACTCTGTTGTTCAAAGGTCACCTCTGTGTGTGTGTGTCTGTAGAGAGAGAGAATAGTTAATCGTATGTGTCAATTTGACTGAGCTAAGGGATACTCAGATAGCTGATAAAACATTAATTCTGGATGTGTCTGTGAAGGTGTTTACAAGCTGGAGAGATTAGCATTTGAATCAGCAGACAGAGTAAAGAACATCATCCTCGCCAATTCACCATCCAATCTGTTGAGGGCCAACGCAGAAGAAAAAGGCAGACGAAGGGTCCATTTTCTCTCTCTCTCTCTTCTTGAGCTGGGACATCTGTTTTCTCCTGTCTTTGGACATTGAAGCTTTTGGTTCTCAGGTCTTCAGATTCCAGAACTTGGACCGGTGCATCCTCTTCTCCCCTCTTCCTCAGTCCTCGAGCCTTCGGTCTCAGGCTGGGAGTTACATCAGCAGCCCTCTTAGCTCTCAGGCCTTCGGACTCAGAATGAATGCACCCCAGGCTTCCCCGGGGCCCCAGCTTGCAAGTGGTAGATTGTGGGACTTCTCAACCAACATGATCATATGAGACAATTTCGTAATAAATTACCTCTCATATTTCTATGTATATCTGATTGGTTCTGTTTTTCTGGAGAACGCTGAGTAATACAATTATGTGTGTGTGTGTGTGTATATATATATATGTATGTATATATATATGACTAATAATATTATATATAGGGGATAATAAAATTATATATCTATTATACAATACACATGCGCACACACACACATACACATATATGTGTACGTATATATATAAATGAAGAGATTTATTATGCAGTATTGGCATATTGGCCCACACAATATGGAGGCTGTTACATCCTACAATCTATACCATCTGCAAGCTGGTGACCCAGGAAAGGTGGTGATATCACGTGAAGGCCAGAGAACTGGGGAGCTAATGGTGTCGTTTCTGGGCTGGGTCTGAAGGTCTGAGAACCAAGAGTGATGAGGGCAGGAGACGACTGATGTCCCACTTAAGCAACTGGTCAGAGTTAATTCAACCTTCCTCAATCTCTAGTTCTATTCAGACCTTCAACGGGTTGGAGCATACTCACCCACTTTGCTGACAGGAGATCTCTACTCAGTCCACTGATTCAAATGCTCATCTCTCCCAGAAAAACCCACACAGACACACCTAGAAATAATATTTAACCAGCTATCTGGGCATCCCACAGTCCAGTCATGTTAACACATCAAAAATTAACCATCACAGGGACTTGGTCTTATTACCATTGAAGGCTCACTATCCAGAAAAGTACTTGGTAGTAGGTGTTAAATATTTGTTGAAATAAATAAATGAATGAATCCCTCTTTAATATTAAAAACAATTTTCCAAGGGAAAAATGCTTTTGAACGATGAATGCTGATCCTATCCTATTAGATGCCTTTTGTAAAGAGAGAAACATTGAATGTATGGGCAATATTGCCACAAGAGAAAGTTGAAATCTCAATGAAACCTACCTTCTTTCACCTATCCTTAGAATTTACACAGATTTTTGTTTTTAGTTAGTGTATTAGTCAGGGTTCTCTACAGGGACGAAACTAATCAGATATACGTATATATGGAAGGGAGTTTATGAAGGAGAACTGACTTACACAACCACAAGGTGAAGTCCCATGATAGACTATCTGCAAGCTGAGGAGCAAAGAGGCCAGTGGTGGCTCAGTCTGAGTCCCAAAGCCTCAAAAGTGGAGAAACCGACATTGCATCCTCTAGTCTGTGGCTAAAGGCCTGAGAGCCCCTGGCAAACCAGTGGTGTAAATCCAAGAGTCCAAAAGCCAAAGACCCTGGAGTCTGATGTTCGAGGGCAGGAAGCATCCAACACGGGAGAAAGATGAAGGCTGGAAGACTCATAAATCTGCTCCTTCTATCTTCTTCTGCCTGCTTTTTCTAGCCATGCTGGCAGTCAAATGGATGGTGCCCACCCACATTAATGGTGGGTCTTCCTCTCCCAGTCCACTGACTCAAATATCAATCTCCTCTGGCAACATCCAGAAACACCCAGAAGCAATACTTTACATCATTCAATTCAATCAAGTTGACACTCAATATTAACCATCACAATGAGAGACACATAAGCCTGGATTCTGCCAAAGGGAAAGCCTACGGTAAAGTTGGGTATGAGTGGTTTATTTGGAAATGTGATCTCAGGGTGCAGGAGGGAGAGGGACTAGCAAGAGCAGAGGAAGAGGGACAATAAAGACAAGACGCATCATCACATTGACCATCCAAAGAGGTAAGTGGCTACTTGGCCCATGGTACTTCCCAATAGGCCTTAAGGGGTCAGTGCAGAGCTGCCCACTTGAGGAACGAAAGGAAGGGAGGTTTATCTCTTGGCTCCAGCTCCCCAGTTAGTCAAGGTTGTCCCAGGAAGCACTTACTCCTCCACCTTTCTGGGATGCAAACACCTTTTCTTCAAGGTGAAAAAAACTCGGGTCGAAAATAAGACACACAGCCTAAGTGAAATGTGAAGCCATCAGATTACACCTGCACCCATCCAGCTGAAGCCTGTACAGGACTGGTCACCACATCCACGCCTGCATTCGAGTTGAAATCGAGAGAACTTGAAATAGTGCCCAAAGGTGTCCAACATGAATGTCTTGTGTTATTAAAGAAAGTTCCCCACATAAAATGTTGGAGGAAGGTTTGGTGGAATCTACAGTCATCTTCATTTAGTAACAGATGTCTACATCTTTTTAGTATCATCTTAAAAACCTACAGAAACAAATACTGAGATCCCTTTAAAAATCACAATTAGCTGGGCGTGGTGGCATGCACCTGTAGACCCAGCTACTCAGGAGGCTGAGGCAGGGGAATCGCTTAAACCCGGGAGGCAAAGGTTGCAGTAAGCCGAGATCGCGCCACTGCACTCCAGTCTAGTGACAGGGTGATAATCCATCTCAAAAATAAATAAATAAATAAGTAAATAAAAATAAATAAATAAATAAATAAATAAATCACTGTCTGTTCTGACCTTTATCCTGTTAGTGTAAATTAGATTGACATAGTTCATCACTGATATTCAGAAATTTCAAATCATGGGCAGGAGTCTGATATGGAACTCTATACCTCCAAATTGACATCAGATAATGATTAATGATTTATAGTGATAGCCATCAATTGTACCAGTTTTCTCAATTGGCATTACTCTGCAATGCACGGACAACATTACTGGCAAATGCTGTAGTTTCTATATCTGACCCTCCAAACTTCATGTTGAAATTTGATCTGCAATGTTGGAGGTCAGGCCTGCCGGCAGGGGTCATGGTGGCTTGGTGTCATCCTTGCAGTATTGAGTGAGTTCTCCCTCTATTAGTTCCCTCGAGAGTTCTTTCTAGAGATGGTTTCTTAGCAACTTTTTCTCTTGCTTCCTCTCTTGCCCACGTGATCTCTGCACAGCCAGCTCTCCTTTTCCTTCGGCCATGAGTGAAAGCCACCTGAAGTCCTCACCAGAAGCAGACGTTGGCACCATGCTTCTTGCAAAGCCTGCAGAACCATGAGCCAAGTGTACTAGGGTTCTCTAGAGGGACACGACTAATAGGATAGATGTATATCTGGAAGGGAGTTTATTAAGGAGTATTGACTCATATGATCACAAGGTGAAGTCCCACCATAGGCCGTCTGGAAGCTGAGGAGCCAGGAAGCCAGTCTGAGTCCCAAAACCTGAAAATTAGGGAAGCCGACAGTGCAGCCTTCAGTCTGTGGCCAAAGGCCTGAGAGCCCCTGGCAAACTACTAGTGTAGGTCCAAGAGTCCAAAAGCTGAAGAACATGCAGCCTGATGTTTAAGGTCAGGAAGCATCCAGCATGGGAGAAAGATGAGGTAGAAGACTCAGCAAGTTGGCTTTTCCCACCTTCTTCCATCTGCTTTATCCTAGCCGAGCTGGCAGCTGATTGGATGGTGTCACCCAGACTGAGCGTGGGTCTGCCTCTCCTAGTCCATTGACTCAAATGTCAATCTCCTTTGGTAATGCCCTCACAGACACACCCAGGGACAATACTTTGCATCCTTCAATCCAATGACGTTGGCAATATTAACCATCACACCAAGTAAACTTCTTTCTTTATAAATTACCCTGCCACAGGTACTCCTTTATAACACACGCAGACTGAGACAGTCAAAAACAGACTTCGTTTGAACATGATTTGCAAGTCATCCCATTTGCCCAGAACACCATCACTACCCACAGCATGTTTAACACTGAGAGCATCAATGAGATACAGCAGGTACAGACGGGAGGGTCAGTATCAGCTGTGCTATGCCAAAGAGAGTTGAGGTTTTCTCTGGTTTTATTTCCCGTCTTGATGAAACACGTCTGCTTTTTACATTGTGTCAGAACAATGACTTACACATCACAGTCCACATGGCCGATCCCATGTATTTTTGACACTGTGATCACAATTTTGACAGCATCCCAAGTCCCTTTTCCTTCCAGATGTTTTGGGAGCACGTAGATGCTGTACTTCTCTCAACGTTGTTGGGTATTTGGCTTGTTTCTGTTTTAATCAGCCATGCTGCAGTGGAACTCATCTGACACTTAGTTTACTTCGGAGTGTGGTCCTGGTACTTACCCCCCAGAGATGGGGTCACAGACCCAGGGTTACAAGTAACTCTATTGCTCTCAATGCAGAGTGTCAGGCACTGGAAACGTATGCACACTCACCCATTTCACTGCTGAGTATCTCTGAGGCAGGGGGTGATGAGCTCTGCCTTGAGGGCTGGCTGCTGGGGTTTGTACATTAGCTTAGTACTTCCTAGTGTTGAGAACTTAGGTAAATAGTATTTGAACTACTTGTAAGACGTGAGACTCATTTTCTTTCTTTCTTTTTTTTTTTTTGAGACAGAGTCTCACCTTGTCGCCCAGGCTGGAGTGCAGTGGTGTGATCTCGGCTCACTGCAACCTCCGCCTCCCGGGTTCAAGCGATTCTCCTGCCTCACCTTCCCAAGTAGCTGTGACTACAGGCACCCATCACCATGCCTGGCTAATTTCTTTTTTTGTATTTTCAGTAGAAACAGGGTTTCACCATGTTGGCCAGGCTGGTCTTGAATTCCTGACCTCAGGTGATCCACCCACCTCGGCCTCCCAAAGTGCTGGGATTATAGGCATTAGCCACCACGTCCAGCCGAGTTTGTTTTTTGTTTTGTTTTGGAGACAGAGTCTCACTCTGTCACCAGGCTGGAGTGCAGTGGCACGAGCTCAGCTCACTGCAATATTGGCCAGACTGGTCTTGATCTCCTGACTTTGTGATCTGCCCACCTCAGCCTCCCAAAGTGCTGGGATTACAGGCGTGAGCCACTGTGCCCAGCCCTGAGACTCATTTTGATCATCTACAGAATGAATGGGAATAATTTAAAAGAGGTTTTAGGAGATTGTGTCCATATGAAACATTTAGAATAATTCTTGGCACGTGGTAAGCCTCAAAAAAATGTTCATCGTGGCTATGTACTCTATGATTACCTTAACTTGATGGTCTAGAAATGGCAAAACTATAGTGATGGGAAGCAGATCATTGGCTGCCTGTGGTCTAGTGGAGAGGGAGGGAGGTGAGGATTTCACTAAGGAATGACAACATGAAGGAAGTTTTAGGATGATAAAATGTTTCGTGTATTGATGGTGGCAGGTACAGAAATCTGTGCATTTGTCAAAACTCACAGAACTATACACCACAATGGGTGACGTTGACTCTTTGTAAACTAAAATCTGAATTTTAAAATGGTAGTTTGCTTTTGTAGCTGAAACAAGCAGTCATCATTCTAGGCACTGCGGGTGAGAGGTAAACACACATGCTTCCACAGAGCTTGCACTCCAGTGAGAACAGACCAACAAACAAGATGAATGCTATGAAGAAAATAACCTGCGCTATGAGGATAGAGAAAGACCCGTGGGGGGTGAGCTTGCCTTAGACAGAGGAATGAGGCGGGTCTGTCTGAGCAAAGAATCCCTTGGAGACATAAATGGCGAGAAAGCATCACCCAAGTGCAGAATCGGGAAAAGGATGTAGCAGCTTCATAGGCTGTTCACCAACACACTGAGTGTTTTCATTTAATTATTTATTTCCTGATTCAACGGACCAAAGGGAAAAAAGGTAGTTTGTCAACCTCTTTGATTATTAGTTGATCAGAGTATTCTTACAAATTTTCTCTTTTATAAATAAATATTTCGGTTTCTGAAACCTGTGAGCCTTTTGTTCAATAGGAAACAGTTAATTTTTTTATTAGACCTCCAGTTAAACATGCCTCAAAAGTTAGAAATTTTAAATCACACTGTGTAGTAATAGAAAGAAAAGGCTAATAAATAGTTGGTCACAATTCATTCCTACTTTGAAAGCTTTTGATTGCTATAGTTTTTGCTGAAGGAGTACAAGGTGAAAAAAAAAATGAAGTTGTCAAAAAGTTTCAAAGAATAGTAAGATCTTTCTTCCTCTTCCACCCAGTATCTCCCCAGATGCAATTTCTGTCTCTAGTGTATTGCTAATATAAGTGATAGATTTCTCTTATTTTCAGTACTAATGTTTTTACCTAATAGCAAACCCTAGTGATTGATACAGATTGTTCATACTGCTTCTTGCTTAAAAGAATAGCCTCCTTTCCACTCTTTCTATGCAAGAGGCATAATTTGCCACTTTCACGACCTTCGAGCATGGCTATATGACTTCCTTTGGCCTCATGGTGGGTGGGAGTTACTCCCCCTCCCTTTGACTTTAGGCTCAGCCATGTGACTTGCTTTGGCCTCTGGTTCGTGGCAAGCATGAAGCAAGCCACCCGGAGACAGGCTGGGGTGGATGGAATTGCTTTATCGCACCTCTGCCATCCCAACGGAGAGCACTTCTTAGCTGGCCCATTGCTCTAAAGAGGACGAAGGAACCAGATGGCCTAGACTAGGCTCCACAGGGCTTGGCTTCAACCTGTGGGTTGGAAACACTGCATTATTTGAAAGGACATTCTTAGTCTAGGAAAGACTGGCATGTTCTCAGACAGTGTTAAAAAGATCTCCAGCCATTCAATCATACATAATGAAATTACCGATGGAAAGAAAGAACGGCTCCACATGTGTTCATATGCTAGCAAAAGAGAGGGGAATCTCTCTCATGTGGCAACAGGAGAGTGGGGACAGAGCCAGCATGGGGTGTTGCATGTGGAGTCTGCTTTAAATCTGAGAGACTCTGAGCTACTTATTTAAAGTGTATGTGGCAGTTTCCTCGATTGCAAAATGAAGAAAATACTAGTATCACTGAGGTATGGATTTGAGAATTAAAGAAATGGATACAAATAAAGTCACTAAAACAGTGCTGACATATAACACTGATCAATACACAGTGTCTTCATTATCATTTTCATTAGGAATTAAGGAGAGGCAATGGCATTTCATCCATATTAAGGAAACAAATGAAATCATCAGAATGGTAGAACAATTTAAAACATATGTTATTAAGGGAAAAAGCCAAGAGTGTTACATACACACTGTCATGCCCATGTTCTACATAGCCAAGGACGCCCACATTCTACATAGCAGGGATGAGGTTTTGTGAGGAAGAGAAAGAAGGTGGCCACACACTCAAAACCACCCATTTGTTTTGGAGGCACAATTCAGGAATCTGCAGAGAAGATCAGCAATTTTTCAACACATTTGAAAGTGGAGCAGCCGCAGGGCTGGCAGGAGCGCTGTCATTGGTTGGCTGCGTGTGGGCCGCGCGTTCCATGCGTTATTAACCGTAACTGAGGCACTTGTGGAGATTATTGGCATGTAAGGAGCTGTCTCAAATGATTCCTCAAATGCACAAATGACTGGACAGTTGTGTGATTTGCTGACATGGATTTCCAAGTTTGATTTTTCAAAATTTCATTAATTTTTATCACATGTTAAATGTTCCCGGAATTCTTTCAAAGGGATTTCAAATTGGCCATTTTAGAAGCATCTAGCACAAAGATGAGAAATATAAAAAGATTGATATTTCCTCAAAATGAAAGTATCATATAATGCATTTCCAATCAAAATACCAATGAGATATGCATGCATGTGTGTGTGTGTGTGTGTGTGTGTCTGTGTGTGTGTGAGGGGGTATATCTTGATAAATTTTAAAAATAATTTTGCAAGAGGAAAGCGAAAAATATTTGGGAGGGGGAAAAGAAAAACATAATAGAGAAAGATTCATCCTATTATATGTCAAAATGCACTGCAGAATTGTAATAATAATAATTAAAGGAGAATTGTGCTGAAATAAGAATAGACAAATAGTTCTTTGGAATAAAATAGAGGGTCTAGCAGCAGAACCAGGCACACATTGTACTGTGGCAGAGACACGGCTATGTGTTCACCTTAGTTCTTCCTGCCTCCATTCACAGGACTACGAAAGCTCCCAGCCTCCTCTGCAGTTAGGTTGGGGACGTCCAGCTGAGTTTTGCCTCCTGAATGTGATGGGAATCATGTAAGCCTCCTCCAGCCTTAGACCTTATAGTCACGACTTCCATCCTGTGGCCAACTTCAAGGCCACCTTCAAGGCCACCTTCAAGGCCATCTGCCACAGATAGAATAACATTAAGATGAAACTGTGACCTATCTTAGATTGTGCTTGTGGGACAAATTCAGGGTGTTTTTGGCTATAGTGTCTTAGTCACTTTAGGCTGCTAACACAATGTATCCCAGACTGGGTGGCTTACAAACAACAGAGATTGACTCCTCACACTTCCGGAGCCTGTGAGTCTGAGATCAGGGTGCCAGCGTGGTCGGGTTCTAGGAGAGCCCTCTACCAGGCTGTAGACAACTGATTTCTCATTGAATGCTCATGTGGCAAGGAGAAGAGAACTCTCTGAGCTACACCGGGCACTAATCCCATTCCTGAGGGCTCCACCCTCATAACCCATCTCCCAAAGTCCCACCTCCTAATAAGTGACGTGGAGTTAGAATTTCAACATATGAACCTGGGAGTGAACGTTCAGTCCATGATACACACCAATGATCTTCAAGGCTTATTTGTTACAATACCATAGCCTAGCCTATCTTGACTAATGCAGGTACATAACATGATGAAGGTGGCATTCCAAATCAATAGGGAAAGGATAGAAGACTCAGTAAATGGCTATACATGTTAAAAATAAGAAAATATGAGATAGATACCATGAACCATAAACAAAGCCCACTGACTTCACACAGTCAAAATACATTAATCCCTCACAACACAGTAGGATATAGGTGTAAAGGCCATAAAATAAGTTGGAAAATGCTAATAAAAAATCAAATGAAATAAAAAATGTAAAAATAGCATGTGCATAGCAATTTCAGCTAGAGCAAAACATATCACTACAGCACTACTCACAACAGCGAAGACATGGAATCAACCTTACATGCCCATCAATGATAGATGGGATAAAAAAAATGTGGTACATATACACCATGGAATACTATGCAGCCATAAAAAAGAATGAGATCATGTCCTTTACAGGGACATGGATGGAGATAGAGGCCATTATCCTCAGCAAACTAATGCCAGGAACAGAAAATTAAATTCCACATGTTCTCACTTATAAGTAGAAGCTAAATGATGAGAAAACATGGGCACGTAGAGGGTAAGGATACACACTGGGCCTATGTGAGGGTGGAAGGTGGGAAGAGGGAGAGGATCAGGAAAAATAACTAATGGGTACTAGGCTCATTTCCTGGGTGATGAACTAATTCGTACAACAAACCCCCATGACACGAGTTTACCTATGTAACACAACTGCACATGTACCCCTGAACTTAAAAGTTAAAAAAAAAACTCGCTCCAGAGCCCTCAGGAAATGCATTCCCAAAGCTGTAAATATGGAACGGTTTGTACTTATGCAGATGCCTAGCTTTCTCCTGAGTCACATTTCCATTAAAATTCAAACGTGACACCTTGACATTCACCTTAGGCCTTCTCGGCTCTCACCATCCCTATTCAATGGGCAGTTTCCACAAAGGAGCCGTATTTGTGTCACCACAAAGTATGACAACAAAACAAACAACAAAACATACCTTCAGTGAGATCAGGATGCTGGCCAGGGGGTATATTATTCTCCTATTGATGATATAAAAAATAAAATCGCACGCATGGTGCCTCAAACCAACAGCAATTAACCACGTTATAGCTCTGAAGGTCAGAAGTTCAAGATGAGTCTCAGTAGATTGGAATCCTGGTGCAGACAGACCTGAGCTCCTCCTGGAGACACCGGGGAAGAGCCACTTCCTCACCCTTCATGGCTTCTGATGGCTGCCCAGACTCCTTGGCTGGTGGCCCCATATCACTCAGACAACTTGCCTTATTAGTCTCCATCTCTTACTCTGACCCTACTATTTCCCTTCTGTAAAAATGCTTGTGATTTCTGTGGATTTACATAAATCATTCAGAAAAGTTCCATATATCAAGATCATTCGCTTAATTCCATATTCAAAGTTCCTTTCACTACCTAAAGCAGCACATCTACAGATTCTATAGGTTAAGCCACAGTCTTCTTTGAGGGGCTCTTTTCAGCCCTCACAGAGGACTGAGCTCGCTGGCTAACCAGCATGACTCACTTGTGCTCCGGAATCACTCAACATGTTTATAATCTCCAGACCTGAATCACTCGTCAATACATATTCACAATTGTAAATGTTAAGTTTGTAATTACTGGGAACCTACTTTGGTGTAAATATAAATGCCTTAAGACAAATAAAAGAAATGAAGAAAATGGGCCTGAAATAGGATGCATGGAGTTGCCAGAGAAGGTGGATGAAAGGTGAATTGTGGGGTTTTTTCCTTATTTTTATTTATTTATTTTTATTATTATTGTTTTTGAGACAGTCTTGCTCTGCCACCCAGGCTGGAGTGCAGTGGCGCCATCTCCGCCCACTGCAAGCTCCGCCTCCCAGGTTCACACCATTCTCCTGTTTCAGCTTCCCAAGTAGCTGGGACTACAGGCACCTGCCACCACGCCCAGCTATTTTTTTCTTTTTTTTTTTTTTTTTGTATTTTTAGTAGAGACAGGGTTTCACCGTGTTATACTCATTTATAAATCCAAATAATGTTTAATTTTAATATATTAATTATTTGCTTCTGGAATCATACCCCAAAATGGAAAGTAGCAACAAAATTACTCATTGGTACCATTCCTGAAAGCATTATCAGAATGCCTTCCTTCAGCCGTGCCTTGTGATACACAATCTGGGGTTTAAAATAGAAGAAACCTTCTTGCAGTGGTTCGAATGGCTTGGAAGCACTCATCTTTTTCTTTCCTTTTTTTAAACAAGTAGGAGACATCAGTCAGAAGCTCTTTATTTTGTGAGGTGATACGGTTTAGCTGTGTCCCCACTCAAATCTCATCTTGAATTGTAGCTCCCATAATTCCCACATGTTGTAGAGGGACCCAGTGGGAGATAATGGAATCATGGGGGTAGTTTACCCCATACTGTTCTCATTGTAGTGAATAAGTCTCATGAGATCTGATGGTTTTATGAGGGGCTTCCCCTTTCAGTTGGCTCTCATTCTCCGTTGTCTGCTACCATGTAAGACATGCCTTTCACCTCCTACCATGATTGTGAGGCCTCCCCAGTCACGTGGAACTGTGGGTCCATTAAACCTCTTTTTCTTTACAAATTACCCAGTCTCGGTTATGTCTTTATCAGCAGCATGAAAACAGACTAATACATGGGGGAAGGGATGGACAATTGGTACCTACCCGCATATGCAAGGACAAACGATTCAAGTATACAAATAAGTATTCACTTCCAGCTGTCCTTCTTGCTATCTCCTGCTCCTACCCCGTGTAGACCCCCACACATATTTCAACCAGCAACTAATACCCTAGAGAAAGAACAGTGATGCAGGTAATATACATTCTCCAGGACAACTAGCTGATCTCCTTTGGTTGGCTGCTTGATGACTTGTGGGCAGGTGGACCAAAGCTTATCGTCATGGGTGGTTGAGCAAATCTACAGCCACAGTCCCTCGGCGAGCAGACAGAGTTATCGCAGCTCAACATAAAAACATTTATTCTGTTCTTACCAGTAGGATTAATTCCATCAAGTAGTGAATCTCCTGCTGCAAGATTAGTGTGATCAAATAGATTTCATCTCCTGGATTGTTCCCTGGACTTTTATAGTACATTTCTCTTTTCTGAATTTCATTGTTTTTACTCACTCCCCTCTGAGACTAAATTAAACCATCCCTTTTCATGTATCTTGTTTCTACCCTCTCAAATATGTTCTATTATGTTCTCTTTTAGTTACCACTTAGCCAGGAGTACATATTTAGTTCCTTTAATCTTTCTTCATAAATCAATTCCTTCAGTACCTTGGTTAAAGTGTTGCTCTTTTTATATTTTGAATTTTTTTCATTCCTCTCCAAACCCTGTCCAATTTATCTGTGTCTCTCTGCTAATGAGGTGTCTGGGATGAAATGTGTTTCTCCAGGTGCCGTCTCATTTGTGAGGTTGAGATGAGCAACCCCCATCCTTGCCATTTTGTCACTTTGCTCCTGAGACACAAAGGGCCACCACGTCAGAACTGCCACATTCTGACACCGCCACGGCTGGAACAGATCGCTGCAGCAGGCTTGCCTCCACCAAGTCCCTTCTAATACAATCACCATGCAAGGCGCTTCCTCCTTCCAATTACCCACTTTTCATATTGCTGCTCCCACAGGTATACTGTTAAGTGGCAAATGCTTCCAAACGTTATTTCACTTTCTGCCCCTGTTTCTCATGGATCTTGTAAGAATCTGGCAACATGTCCAATGAATAGGACGCAGAATTGTGCTTCCATTCTTTTTCACTGGCTGTGTAAATGAAGGGTGAGAAGATCGCTCAGAAGAAAGTTGCATCTGCTGCAGCAAAGACCAGAAATCACAGAGGCTTAAATGAGACAGCCGTCTGTTTTTCCTTAGGCTGTCGGGATGCAAGCAGCCCAGAGCTCAATGGCAACAGGGCTTGGGCATCCTGTGTTTTTGCTTCACTATCATAACTGTTTTGTCCTCCTTCATCCACACAGTCCAGGACAGCTCATTTTCTAACCAGCATGGAGGAGGGAGGAGGTCCTGAGACCTCACCCCCTTGTCATGGTCCAATTTGAAAATTGCAAGCATCATCTTCAGTCATATTTCCATTGAACGGACCACCAGCATCTGACTTCATCTATGCAAAAGAGAAGCTAAAAAGTCAAGTCTTTTATTCACAGTGGTCACGCTGACCATGTGAAGCTATGGATGTGTTATGGTGAGAGAAAAGAAAGAAAAAGAATATTGAAGACATCTGGACATCTCAAGAATCCACAAAAGGAATGAAGGCAGAACGTCTCCAAACCCAAGGCATGAAAGAAAGAGGTATATACAAACTCCGAATAGCAGGCAGAAGGACTGGAATGAAGGTTGAGGAAGAAGGGGGCACTGTTGAGGGCCCAGTGAGTCAGATCAAAAGGGTAGCCAATGGCATATCCTCATCATGGCTTCCAAAGATTCGTGGGTAACCCTTAAATGACAACATCAATTATCTACTATGCATCCCTTGTATCGGAGGATGGTGATGGTGGTAAAATTCCTAGAGCATGCATCATCCATATCATCAAACAGCAATAATTTCAGAACAGAGGAACTGTGCTTTGGAAGAAGGCTTCAAGAAGAATGAAAATCCATGCTGCACTTTGCAACGGCTTCATACATTCCATTCTTTCTTTCTGAAAATAGCATGCCAATGAAACAGAATGGATTCTGTCATTCAATCAGCATTTTGAGTGAAATTGGCTTTTGGGTTTTTTTTTTCTCGGTTTTAGGAACTAGGGTGGGGCCACATCATACATTCACTCAACATATATTTATTTATCAAGTGTTTATTCCAAGCCAGTCACTGAAGGTACAGTGATAGCAAAAAATAATAATAATAAAGAAAGAAAGAGAAAAAAGAAACCTGACCTCACGAAGCTTTTTTCCCCCTCTAATGAGGGGGATTATTTGCAAATACATTAGTTAGAATTAATTCAAAGAGAAATGAGAAAATGTAAAACATGAAGAATTTTGAGTTTGAGAGTGTAGGACATGATGCATATTTAAATGGATAATTCTGACTACTTAATAAATAAGCACAAGAATGAGTAGCAATTCATCTCTTTCCTTCAAAAATTCAAGATGGGTCCAATTGACAGTAAAATACAGCACTGATAATAAAAATAGTATTGAGTTATTAACCTAAAGATTTTGCACTAAATTGAAAACTTATCTAGATAACATATTTGAAAAAAGGCTAATAAAGTTTTTTTCTTTCTAAACCACAATAATCTGATCCGATTTCCATTATAAAAAGTACCATGTTTTATTAGAATTTAAACCCCACTGATTATAAGACATGTCTTAATTCGTGTAACACTAAAATATTCACCAAAACTCTGCAGAATATAATTGTAAGAAACTACTGAATATAATGTCCATCTGATTTTAGGGAGTAAAAAAAATAGCTGACTTGGAACTGGGAAGATATGGTTCTCTCTTCCCAGGTTCCACGGATCATCTTTCTAGATGGACCGAGATGTAGCAAGAAAAACTAAAAGGCACTCCCAAATTATTGCCATTTGAAATACTACTCTTGCCTATTCTAAGTACTATGTCATTATTTTTATTTTTGAAATCTTCCCTTTCACAGGATAATCCAACTGGTCTATAGAATTTGGCAATCTCTTTCTTTGGCTCAACTTCTAAGCATTTAGGAGACAGATATGTGTACACACATACAATATGATATGTGCATAAAATACTTTTTGTGGCATGATATAAAATAAAGATTGGGAACAAGCTAAGCATATCCTAGTAGGAGACTGGTTAAATAAATCACAGTACATGTGCCCAATAAAATTATTTGTACATATTCAAAAGAATGAGCCAGCTCTACATGTTATGATATGGAAATGCTGTGTAAGATGCATTTTTCATGGACTCAAAGTAAGATGCAAAACAAACAGTGTGTGCTATGTGAACGTTTGTGAAGATGGAGCAAGGATTATAGGTCTATGTGTGCAAAAGTGGGTCTCAGAAAGAAGATGCAGACAAAGGACACAGCTCCGAAGCAGGATTTCTGGAAGACACAGGAAAGAGGACTATTTTATTAGTAAAAACCTCTGTAGTTTGTAATTGTTTTCATGTACATGTGCTGTCTATTCAACAGCAATGAGGAGGAGGAGGTTGAGGAGGAAGAGGAAGAGACACAGGAGGGTGGACACCTGGGTAAATTCCCAAATTGATGCCACATGGAGGTATGGAAGTTACAGAGACCTATGAGGTTCAGGTTTTCTGAATTTTCTTCCAAAAGCTAAAATACACATTCTATAAAACTAATCACTCTGGGGAAAAAAAAGGTTAATCGTTTAGAAACAAGGGTATGTAAAAAATCAGGGAAATTAAATGGTTGGAAAGTCCTTCTGACTTTCAAGCTTAGAAGCTGCAAGAATACTGGACTTTTTGTTTGTTTGGTTGGTTTTCTTCCTAGCACCATCATGGTGAAGTAACTTTCTTCAATGGCATCCTGGCAAAACTATCCCAACTCAAGGAAACAGAAGATAAAAAATGTGATGTGATTCCAGATATTTTATTGTACTATACAAATTCTATTACAAGCATAGAAGAAAGACAAGTAAAACTGGTCACACATTGGCTGGGTCCAAGTGTGTTTTAATATGTCCATGAAATGAATCAGGTCTCAGACACTTGAAGGCTGGGAAAAGTTTTGGACTGATTTTAAATGTGCTGAAAGTGGGTGGGGAGCAGGAGGCAGTAAAGATGTGAAGGGTGGGTTAAAAGAAAATTCTTGATGACAAACCCTGAAATATTGCACTTTTGGCTTTTGGGAAAGACCGGTAATTGTCACCAAGGAATTAAGGCCCACCTTGGAGAGGAAGATGTTTTTCCTTTACTTGCTCAATACTCAGTATTGCAGACTAAAATAAATTGGCATTGTGCCGGATGTAAAGCCTGTGCTTCACACCTTTTAAAGCACTGGGAGGTGCAGAGAAATGCAGCTGGCATCAAACGTCACGGGGAACTTACTCCTCTTGACATGTATTTTTTTTAAAATGTCAAATTCCTTAATACTTGCAGGGTTTTTAAAGTTTTTATATTTCAGTTACAATTCACCCATGCCTTTTTCTTCCCCTCATCTTTGCACATATCATCCTGATATTAGGCAACCCCCTGTTATGTATCATTTAGTGTCAGACTAAGAGGTCTCATTTTGACAGATTTCCAAGGCATGCCAACAGAAAACCAAGGGGCTCACTTCTGGCTTCCGTGGTTCCTGTGTAAGCCGGCAGTGCAAGAGCAAATATCCCTTTGACATGGAGGGTACATGAAGCAAACAGGAATGGTTCAGAGCCACAACCACGGGGCGCTTCCCAGCGCTTTCCCTGGTTATGCAGAAGTGGGGTTAAAAGCTTTTTAAAGCTGATTTGGCTTAGCAACCCCATAAGCCATATGGCCTCCTTGAAGATGATGATTCGCTTCCACGTGATTTGTACATTTCAGGTGAGTCAAGAGATTTTCTTGACAGTCATCACATAGATGGCCAGCTACATGCACACTAACGTCACATCAAAGTCCAGGGGAAATGAATATGTTGTTTTCATAGCTGCCAGGAGGAGTGAAAATCAAGAGAGATCCTCAGTCATGCACAGTAAGTTGCTTTTGGTTTCTATGAGAAAAATGTAAAAAGGGATATTTCACATACTGTCCATTAAGCCAAAATGTATAGACTGTTGGAAAGCACAGCCTTTACTCGAAAAGTGGCTAAATAATTTTTCACTAAGATTAGAGAACACATGCATAGTCCAAAATGATGGTAGCAAGCAGTCATACTTGGCATTGTAGCAATGTGTTCAAAGCTCTCCTAAGTCCTGTGGAAGTTCTCTCTCAGTACTGGGCACTTTGCCTTTTTATACTGATGTTTCACATTTGCTATTCCTGTAAGTTCCCGGTAGCAGGAGTGTTGCCTCCCTATCATCCACGGACTCCCCCTCCCCTCTCTAATGTGGCCTCTGTACATAGTAGGGACTTCATTAACACTTGCTGAGAAGGCTTGCAATATCTGGGACTACCGCTCAGTTTGTGGAAATACCACTTCCCATGGCACTCAGGAATGAACACAATGCAAATATACCTTGTTCAATAGACTCAGGGTTTATAATCACAGACAGGTACAGCTGAAAGCAAAGTATGAACCTATATAGGTTAACGGCTTTGTTTTACATAGGAGGAAGCAAATGTGATAAAGAGGTTACTTGCTCCAAGACACAGATCATGTTAAAAGCAGATTCTAGACTAGAAACCTGATCTCCTCATTAATTCTAGGTGAAATCAGATAATATGCAAAAATTAATGTGAACAGGAAGTGACATTTAAACCTATCATCCATTCAGCAACACTGTACTGAGTGCTTATCTTGTACCTACACAGCTAAAGTTCCTCAGGGTAGATTTATGGACCTTATATTCTAGTGAGGTGGGAGGAACACAGATAGTGCATACGTAGACAAGATGATTTGAAGAAATAAAATACAGTGATGTGCAGAGATATCTTTGGTGCAATGTTACTTTAGGATAAGGATTACTTCTGTGAGGTGTCTCAAATGAGCTAAGAACTGAATGACCACAGGGGGAGAGAAGAGGTGTCGTAGCTTGAAACGGTGGACCTGATCCTTTACACCTCTCAGTACCCACAACCCTTGCTACTGTGACTTTCCAATTCCTCCCAAAAAAGGGGCGGGGGATATTTCTCCATCCCTTGTCTCTGACTTAGACCCATGGGTCATGCTTTGGTCAACAGAATAAAACAGGCATGACTCTAAGCTGGTTCCCAAGCAGTCTTGTGCATTGCCATCTGTGTTCCTGCAATTTGTCTATGGCTGTAAGAAGAACATCAAAGGGTAGCCTTCTGACCCTGGGGGCCAGATGATAGGTGTGTGGAACAGAGCCACCCGCAGAGGAGCTGACCGACTGCAGATATGGGACGGAGCCCAGGCAGGGCCAGAAGAGCCACCTCACTGAGCCCAGCCTGCATGAGCCAGTTTCCAGTGGTCCCTCAGCCTCCCAGTGCCATATGAGCTAGAGAAATGCTGATTTTTATGCTGTACACGTTTTGTAAACACTTATTCTACATTATTGTTTGGCCATATCCCACTGACACACTTGGGAAGAAGTTGGAAGCAGGTGTTCTAAAAAAAGGAATCAATAAGTTCAAAGGCTTGAAACAAAGTCCTGGCTAGAGTTTGAAGAATAGGCAGCCAGTATGACTGAGAAGCTCATTAAATGTGTGATAATGTGATAGAGCACAATTTCAAACATGATGTACACAGGAGACAAATTGGGTATGGTTTTGTGGGCCATAGTGGAGATGTTATCAGGAGTACAATGGAAAAACACTGGAAGGTTATAAATTGAGAAAGTAGCTGATCTATAGCTCTTACTCATGATAACAAGCTATTCTGTAGGGCATGGGACACTGGCAGGTGAGAACAGACCCAGGCAGATGAAAGGAGGCTATTATGATGGCTCTGGTGAGACGATGTTCTTCTTCTTTTCCTTGAAGTATATTGTGTGTGTCTATGTGTGTATACATATACATGAATATACATGTATACTCGTATATAATCAGATGTATTCTATGCATTTTTTATATACAGTTGTCCCTTGGTATCGGTGGGGAATTGGTTCCAGCACGCCCTGCAGATACCAAAATCTGTGGACACCAAAATCTGAGGATGCTCATGTCCCTGATAGAAAATAGTGTCGGTCATATTGCATATAATGGCACACCCTTCTGTATACTTTAAATCATGTCTAGATTACATGTAATGCTTAATACAATATAAATGTTATATAAATCATTGTTATATTGTATAGTTTAGAGAATAATGACAATTCCTACTTTTGAATTACTTCTTCTATTTCCCCACTCACTGCTTTTGATTGAATTCCATATGCCTCTGACCTCATTCGAATGGTGTTTTTTTTTTTAAACTCCTGTTTGAATGTACCCATCACCCCATCCACCCCCCGCCAATAAAGCCCTTCTAAATATAGGACCCAGTCTGAACTCGGTAGGAAATTCTGTGATTGTCTGAGCTCCACAGCTAGTCCAAGGCAGATGGGAAAATCCTACCTTTAAGGCATTTGATGATGTGAAGAGAACACTTCAACCAATGCACCTACACGTTCTAAATGCTATGTTATGGTTGAAACGCAGGTGAGAGTGTGAATACAATATTTTGGTTCCCTGACTACACATTTTTATTTTTAAAGGGATTTCTTTCATGTTTCACTTAGGGGAATGATATTTTCGTCCTTGGACTGCCTGAGGGAACATGTTCAGTACAGACTTTTTGTTTCCAAATATTTTCTATCCACAGTTGGTTGGATCCACAGACACAGAACCCACAGACACAGAGGGCTGACTGTATACAATCAAGATAGGAGAGGACATTTTTGCTGATCTCAGTGGGAGAGGTACTTAAACAAACAACAGTGATATACTCCTGTTTACTTTATTTGTACACATTGGTAACCAGAATGTCATAAATTATTCTTCAGGCCCTGAAGTGTTAAAAAAGTATTTATAAATAAAATAAAAACAACTTTCCTATAATGAACACCCCATACTTACATCAAACAGAGCTGTAGCGCTTACCAGCATGGTAAGTAAAATGATTATAAAGGTAAGTGTTCCATCAAGATTCCCCAGAAGCAAATAACATTCACGGAGTACAAGTAGGACAGTCCCCTGAGACAGTAATATTGTCTCTGAATCCATCATATAAGCATGTTCCCTCAGGCAGTCCAAGGACTAAAATATCATTCCCCTAAGTGAAACATGAAAGAAATCCCTTTAAAAACAAAAATGTATAGTCAGGGAACCAAAACATTGTATTCACACTCTCACCTGCGTTTCAACCATAACATAGCATTTAGAAAGTGTAGGTACATTGGTTGAAGTGTTCTCTTCACATCATCAAATGCCCCAAAGGTAGGATTTTCCCATCCGCCTTGGACTAGCTGTGGAGCTCAGACAATCACAGAATTTCCTACCGAGTTCAGACTGGGTCCTATATTTAGAAGGGCTTTATTGGCGGGGGGTGGATGGGGTGATGGGTACATTCAAACAGGAGTTTAAAAAAAACACCATTTGAATGAGGTCAGAAGCATAAGAATTCAATCAAAAGCAGTGAGTAGGGAAATAGAAGAAGAAATTCTAAAGTAGGAACCCAGCCATGACATACTTGCAAAAACAACAACAACAACAACAAAAAACTACAAAGGAATTCAACTACAAATATAAATTGTACACATTTGGAAGGTGTAGAATTCTAGCACACTATAAGCCGGATTTCCTGGACAGATTCTTATAAAATTCAGAAGTGTTTTCACACATTACATCTTCCATGAGGAAAAGGCATCCTATAAAATGCTCCTTATTTTTTTATGAGCTATTGAGAAGCACAGTTTACTCTGGAATAACTCAAGGGACTTTCTTTAAGAGGGCTGTAAAGACAGGCAGGCTCCAGGTCAAAGCCCCTGGCCATATAAACACACCAAGCTTATCTCTGATGGACGTGACTGACATCTGAAAAAAGATTTTCTATGGAATGTCCACCCCAAATGGAATCATCACTTCCTTCATCCTCTGGAGCACGTTCCCAGCTCTACTGCAAAATTAGAAATAGATGATGTGTTTGGATTTTCTGTTGTTGTTGCTTCTAAGTCTTTACCGGCAATAGTGGCAGAAAATAAGTAAGAAATGCTATAATCCTAATAAATAAAAGCCAAAGAAACACTATAGAACCTAATAAATAAAAGCCAAAGAAATACTACAATCCTAATAAATAGAAGCCCAATAAATACTATCAAGAAAAGAAATTAAAAACAAAAACAGGCACGGAATAGTCACACCTCACAGAAAAACTGTATTGATTTGTAAAGATCTATGTTTTGGTAACGATTGCAGAAATTTTTCTGCTTTTCAAGAATTCATTCCCTCTTTCTCTGATACCACAAGCTGTATTTCCACCTGTCCCTCACTGGGAGTACATGTGGATGAGTGGGTTGATTCTATTCTAAGCTGAGATGGGCCTTTGATTAAGGCCTGGCTGCTCAGACCATCTCATGGCACTGCATTGTAACTTGCTTAGAAATGAATATCTAATGACACTAAACCAATCACAGAAAATGCTTATACTTCTGAAGGAGTTTGGAGAGAATCTCTTTCCCCTGGGGTTGTTGAGAGAGAAAATGCAAGCCCAGGTTTCTGGCAGCCAAATTTCCATCAAAGAGGGGACCAAGCTGAGGATGCAGAGAGGAGAGCACAGCTGAGAAGTAGAAAATAATTTATGGCTGTGGCTCTGTTTAAATCCTAGAGCCAGTCATGCTGAAAGCAGCACCACCTTTGGAATTCCCAGTTTTATGAACCAATAAATTCCCCATTTTGCTTAACCCAGTTTGAGTAGGGTTTCTGTCACTTGCAATTAACATATCCACAACTAATACATTTCAGTGAATTATTAGCAATCCTTTGTTTATAATCAGACAAAAGAAATAATAAAATGTGATTTTGAATTACAGAGGCATTACACACCAGCCACTATCTATTCTGCAAACAGGGTTTCCTTCCAGTCAAATGACAGTGAATTTAAACCTAAAACATGACTACTGAGACCACACTTTGTTTAATCCGTCAGAATTTATAATTGCTTTGAAGCTGTCACATTTTAAACATAACCCTACAACCATAAAACTGTTGACTGTCATGAATCAGTGGGATTCATGTATTGTATAATTCACACATTTTAAGTGTGTCACATATATCTAGTGCATTCAGGCATATTTTCTAGATATTGTGGGTTTGGTTCCAGATCATCATAATAAAGCAAATATCACCATAAAGTGAGTCACACATTTTTTGGTTTTTGGTTTCCCAGTGCATATACAAGTTACATTTACACAATGCTGTTGTCTAGCAAATGTACAACAACATTATGTCTAAAAAAACTATGTACATGCTTCAATTTAAAAATACTTTATTGCTAAAACTGATCATCATGACCTGGACCTTCATCAAGACCTAATTTTTTTTGCTGCTGGGAGGTCTTGCCTCCATGTGGATGGCTGCTGACTAATCAGGTTGGGGACTGCTGAAGGTTGGAGTGGCTGTGGCAATGTCTTAAAAAAGGCAACAATGAGGTTTGCTGCATCAATGGACTCGTCTTTTGACAAAAGATTTCTCTGTAGCATGCGATGCCATTTGATAGCATTTTACCCACAGCAGAACGTCCTTCAAAATTGGAGCCAATCTTTTCACACCCTGCTGTTGCTTTATCAAATCAGTCTTTGTAATATTCTAAATCCTTTGTTGTCGTTTCAACAATGCTCACACGTCCTCACCAGGAGTAGATTCCATCTCGAGAAACCACTTTCTTTGTTCATCCATAAGAAGCAATTCTTCCTCTGTTCACATTGTGTCATGAGCTTGCAGCCATTCAGTCACCTCTTGAGGCTCCACTTCTAATTCTAGCTCTCTTGCTGTTTCCACACCTGCGGTGACTTCCTCCACTGAAGTCTTGAGCCCCTCAAAGTCATCCATGAGGGTTGGAATCAGGTTCTTCCACACTCCTGTTCATGTTGACATTTGGGCTCCTCTCGTGAATTGCCAATGTTCTTCATGGCATCAAGAATGGTAAATCCTTTCCAAAAGGTTTTCAACTTACTTTGCCCAAATCCATCAGAGGAATCACTATCTCTGGCAGCCATAGCCTTATCAAAGGTATGACTTGAAAGCCAAAATTACTCCTTGATCCATGGGTTGCAGAATGAATGCTGCATTAGAAGGCATGAAAATAACATAAATCTTCTTGTGTGTCTCCATCAGAGCTCTTAGGTGACCAGGTGTATTGTCAGTGAGCAGTAACATTGTTAAAGGCATCTTTTTTTCTGAGCAACAGATCTCAACAGTGGGCTTAAAATATTCAGTAGACAGATGTGTGCTGTAAACAGATGTGCTGTCATCCAGGCTTTGTTGTTCCATTTATAGAACACAGGCAGGGTAGAGTAAGCATAATTATTAAGGGCCCTAGGAATTTCAGAGTGGTAAATGCGTGTTGGCTTCAACTTAAAGTCACCAGCTGCATTACCCAACAACAAGGAAGTCAGCCTGTCCTTTGAAGCCAGAAACTGACTTCTCCTCTCTAGCTATGAAAGTCCTAGAAGGCACCTTCTTCCAATAGAAGGCTGTGTCATTTACACGGAAAATCTTTTATTTAGTGTAGGCACCTTAATCAATGATTTTAACTAGATCTTCTGGAGAACTTGCTGCAGCTTCTCTGTCAGCACCCTTGCTACTTTGCCTTGCACTTTTATGTCATAGAGATGGCATCTTTTCTTAAATCTCATGAAACAACCTCTGCTAGTTTCCAGCTTTTCTTCTTCAGCTTCCTCATTGCCCCCAGCCTTCATAGAACTGAAAAGTTAGGCTCTTGCTCAGGATAAGGCTTTAGCTTAAGAGAATGCTGTGACTAGCTTGATCTTCTATCCAGGTCATTCAAACTTTCTCCATATCAGCAAGAAGGTTGTTTCACTTTCTTATCATCTGTGTGTTCACTGGAGTAGCAGTTTTAACTTCCTCCAAGAACTTTTTCTCCACGTTCGAAACATAACCATATGATACAAAAGACCTAGCTTTCAGCCTGTCTCCACTTTCAACATGCCTTCCTCACTAAGCTTAATCATTTCTAGCTTCTGATTTAAAATGTGAGATGTGCAACTCTTCCTTTCACTTGAGCACTTAGAGACCATTGTAGGGTAATTAACTGGCTTCATTTCAATATTTTTGTGTCTCAGAGAATAGGAGGCGAGAAGAGAGGGAGAGAGATAGAAGAATAGCTGTCTGTGGGGCAGTCAGAACACACACATTTATAAATTAGGGTGAAAATCTTACATGGGCATGGTTCATGGAGCCACAAACAATAGTAACATGAAATATCACGGATCACAGATCACCATAACAAATATAATAACAATGAAAAGTTGAAATATTGCTAGAATTGTCACAATGTGACACAGAGATGACATGAGCTCATGCTGTTGGAAAAATGGTGCCAGTAGACTTGTTCAATGCAGGGTTGCCATAAACCTTCAATTTATCAAAAAAAAAATCTGCAAATCATAATAAAGCAAAACATGACAAAATAAATTATGCTGATACTTTCATTATCACTTGTTTTGAGTGGTATAATAATGATTTATTTGTCTTTCTCATTGGAGTCCATTCACTTCTACCTTCAGTACATAGGACAGGGTTTAGCAAAGATATGGTTCTTCATTGGCAGAACAGCTACAAGGGCCAACTCTATCATCAAAGACCATCAGGTAGAAAAGTAAAAACTGAAAACTAGACCGCCTGTATGCAAGTATTATATCCACACTATAGGCTAAGAATGTGCAGACACCTACCCATATCTCAGTATTCCACCTTTCCAAAAACAGAGTACCAAAAACTATGATGGATACTAGGAAATAAAAATGTCAATATAGCTATCCGTGAGCTCACTGAATTTTACTTCCTAAAGCAGATAGAAATGTTGCCTGGAATTTCACTGGTTTATTTAAATTGTGGAGAAAAGGCAATGGTAATATGCAAAGTAAGAGAAAAGAGAAAAAAAAAACTGAAAAGTAGATAAAAAGACATAGGGAGGAGAAGATGAACTGAAGATAGTAGATTTATACCTATCCCATCCAACTCCGGTGGCAGAAATGTGTTGGCCTCTGCTACTGATACTAGTCACAGGGGCATATGACTTTTGTTTTCAACAGACCTTGTTTTTCAGAGCAGTTATAAGTTCACAGCAAAATTGAGAGGCAGGTACAGAGATTTCTCATACATCCCCTTCCCCACACATACACAGCCCTCCTCCTTATCACCATCCCCCACCAGAGGGTTAATGTGTGTATTAGTCCATTCTCGCCTGCAAATAAAGACACACCCAAACTGGGTAATTTATAAAGTACAGAGGTTCAATTGATTCACAGTTATGCAGGGTTGGGTAGGCCTCAGGAAACTTACAACCATAGCAGAAGGGGAAGCAAACACGATGGAGAGGTGCTGAGCAAAAGGGTTGGAAAAGCCCCTAATAAAACCATTAGATCTTGTGATAACTCACTTACCATCACGAGAACAGCATGAGAGTAACCGCCCCCATGATTCAATTACCTTCCACCAGGTCCCTCCCTCGCACAACACATGGGGATTATGGGAACTACAATTCAAGAAGAGATTTGGGTGGGGACACAGAGCCAAACTATATCCATTTGTTACAACTGAGGAACCTATCTCTACATATCATTATCACCCAAAGTCCAAAGTTGGCATTAGGGTTCACACTTGGTGTTACACATTTTATGGGTTTGAACAAATGTACAATGACAATGTACCCACTGTTACCATATCATACAGAGTAGATTCCCTGCCCTAAAAAGCCTCTGTGCTCTGCCCATCTCTCCCCAACCCAATTCCTGGAAACCACTGACATTTCTACTGTCTCCGAGGTTTTGTCTTTTGCAAAATGTTCTACAGTTGAAATCTTACAGCATGTAGTCTTTTCTAATGGCCTTCTTTCCCTTGGTACATTTTTTCTTTTGTAAGTTTTCCTCCATGTCTTTTCAGGGCCTGATAGCTCCCTTATTTTTTGCACTGAATAATATTCCATTGCCTGACTTCTCAACAGAAGACATTTATGTGGCCAAGAAACATATGAAAAAAAGTTCATCATCACTGGTCATTAGAGAAATGCAAATCAAAACCACAATGAGATACTATCTCACACCAGTTAGAATGGCAATCATTAAAAAGTCTGGAAACAACAGGTGCTGGAGAGGATATGGAGAAAAAGGAACACTTTTACACTGTTGGTGGGAGTGTAAATTAGTTCAACCATTGTGGAAGCCAGTGTGGCAATTCCTCAAGGATCTAGAACCAGAAATACCATTTGACCCAGCAATCCCATTACTGCGTATATACCCAAAGGACTATAAATCATTCTACTATAAAGACACATGCACACATATATTTACTGCAGCACTATTTACAATAGCAAAGACTTGGAACCAACCCAAATGCCCATCACTGATACACTGGATAAAGAAAATGTGGCACATATACACCAAGGAATACTATGCAGCCATAAAAAATGAGTTCATGTCCTTTGCAGGGACATGGATGAAGCTGGAAATCATTATTCTCAGCAAACTAACACAGGAACAGAAAACCAAACACTGCATGTTCTCACTCATAAGTGGGAGTTGAACAATGAGAACACATGGACACAAGGAGGGGAACATCACACACCAGGGCCCGTCGAGGGGTTGGGGGTAAGGGGGAAGGAGAGCACTAGGAAAAAAACCTACTGCACGTGAGGCTTAAAACCCAGATGATGGGTTGATAGGTGCAGCAACCCACCATGGCAGACGTATACCTGTGTTACAAACCTGCACGTTCAGCACATGTATCCCAGAACTTAAAGTAAAATTAAAAATATATATATTCCATTGTCTGGATGCACCACAGTTTATTTATTTATTTACCTACTGAAGGATATCTTGGTTGCTTCCAAGTTTGGGCATTTATGAATAAAGGTGCTATAAACATCCCGGTGCAGGTTATTTGTGGACATAAGTTTTCAACTCCTTTGGCTAAATGCCAAGGAGCACGAGCGTTGGATCCTACAGCAGCTTAGGTCATTTTTAATTCAGAACACTACAGATGTCATCATTTCCAGACCTGACCCAACTTTCCAGCCTCTGGTAATTGTTTTCAGTTGAATTAGAGAAGAAAAGATGCTTTCAAATCACTGTAATGCACCTAACCAATTGGAAAATGGCATCATGGAAGAAACTCCTTCCCCTCATGCCTGAAGCATTATCATACTTAGATACTGAAGCATGAGATTTAATTATCATTATCGTTATCTAAGCTTGACTAGCTTCAAATGAATTCCAAGTTCCAGTTCCAGAGACCCAGCTAAGACACAAAATTAAGACGCTATTAGCAGACTTAATATTCAACAATACAAATGCATACCTTACTAAGAAAATAGTTTAATTAAAATAGCCTTGGCCTTGAGAGAAGGGGCAGTGAACAAGAGGAGATGCAAGATACTTATTTAGAACCTCTTTCCCACTTTAGTAATCTCTCAGTATGCTAATTTTAGTATTTTCCTGTTCATTGTATAGATATGCATAAAAGTAAGTCACTTACCCTTAAAAATATACTAGTGATATAAATCTGAGACACCTTCGATTTGGCTCATTTTTAAATGTTCTCATCATTGTTCCGGTTTCAGATTTTTTTGTCATGTATTTTGTAGTTTGTGTTCTCCTGTGTGACACCCAAAAACCCATCAGTGTGCCACCAAATGCTTGGGACATGACGGGCATGGTTATCAAACTGATGTGCACTTGTGGGGACATTAGTTTTACCACGGTATTGTAGATTGGCTCATTACTGACTCATGTCTAAAAGATATATATACAAAACACAAAGGAAGAGGCAACTTATTCTCTGGAGAACACCCATGCACCCTACTTTAAATCTCTCACGTTATATGGAAGTTCTATCATCTCTCTCACATCCAGGAAAAAATGGTCTCGTCTGATCTTATATTCTCCTGAATAGTACTTGAATGACACTTGCATCCAGCACTAGAAAATCATACATCAGTTCCCCTTGGAATGATCTTATGCCCCACAAGCAGCCTTTAAATTATTATGGGAAATTAGGCATTATATATATATATATATACACACACATATATATATACACACACACACACACACACACACAAATATACATATACATATATATATATATATTTGTAGATAGAAAGTGTGCTGATGAGCAAATATTCATGTGGAAACCTTGACAGTCATTTTTTCCATTGTAAATTAATAAACTGGCAATGGCGTTTCTCATACATCATTTTTTTCATGGGTCAGAGTTGTGGTTTGCAGTTAACAGCAGCTATATTGCAAGGGACAAGTAAACAAGCTTAGATTCCACAAAGCCAGAAACAATGCAGCCAAGAAAACAGCCAGGAACCTGGCTCAGCCGCCCCATAGAGCTGCTCCAGCTGCAACTCCCCTGCTGTACTGTGGCCTCCAGGGTGGCTGTGTATGCTAGAGAATTAACAATCAACATACCATTGAGGTGGAACAAGAACTTGAACCCTCAGCTACTGTGCTTACTAAAATCAAAAAACAAAAATAAAACAAAAAAGACACTTTCTCTGCACAGTGTATCCTTCACTGGGATGGTGCTCACATCTCTCCCTGGGTCTTCACAGGGGTGCCTTCAGGGTAGAACAGTACCTCGATTCTAGATGGAACCCTAGCTGTGATAGTCTTCGGGAAATGTCATTTTAGTTTCCATCCACTCTAGTTCAGAAAGCTTCAAAGGGGCTTGGGGCAATTGTTGATCGAGCCGGTCCACAGACTCCACAGTCTTCCTTGAGTAGGGCTTGGGGAAATTGACAAAAGATACATGAGGGGTATCTAGGTCTGTCATATGTATGTAGGTAGAGAGTCCCTAAGTTAGCTCAGAGTCTGCCGCAGCCCCGGAGCCACACAGAGAAGCAGCTAAGATCTCTTGCATCCCTGAGATGGTGTGGGCGAGCTCAGTGAGAGAGAGACCTGGCAAGTAACGTAGCAACGATAAGGCTCTGATGTGAGCAGGCAGACAGCTGAGGACCAGGCTGGACAAGATGAACCAGTGACCACACCAAGGTCATCCTCCATCACTCCAACCCCAATACAGGCACTACAGAAAACACCTGAAACTTAGAAGCAACTTTTGGGAAGGATAGGGAGAACTCAGAACTAACAAAAAGACACTAAGTTACTTGTAACTGAGATAATTTTCTGCCCACTTGGGTAGAAAGTGGGCGGCAAGAAAAAAAGTTACATTAAATTGGAGGGAATAAAAACTACATATCTTAAACATCTGAGTATATTATCTGATTCAAGAACTCTCTACCAAAATGCTTGTTATATGATGTAACTCTCAAAATGCTACCTGATTCTAAAGAATGCATTTGCTCATAGAACAGTGAGAGGTGGCAGGTGCATTGTTCATTCTCTTGGATTTCCAACGAACATTTATTATGCTTTTCTGCAATTGTTACTTTCCTTGTCTATCTTGGAAATGAAGAAACTGTGTTCTCATCTCTGTGTCTCCACTGCTTAGTTTCTTTTTCTTTCTTTCTTTCTTTCTTTTTTTTTTTTGAATAGTCACTCTGCAATTGGGGAGGGTCGCAAGATTACCTTGTTCAACAATTTGTTAGAAGAACTCACAGAATGTGGCAAAGCTGGTATCCTCACCATCACAGTTTATTATAGCGAAATGATACCGATTAAAATCAGCAACAAGAAAGAAAAGGTGCTTAGGGTAGGATCTCTGGGAGCCTGGGTGTAGAACTTCCAGTTCTCTCCCAGTGGGTCACGCAGAGTGGGCTCATTCCTCGCAGCAAAAACCTGCGATCGCATGCACAGAGTACTGCTAACTGGGGAAACCCCTCTGGAGCTTGGCATGCAGAATTCCTACGAAGGGTTGCTCCCACGGTCAGGGCTGACCACCTGCAAGGCTGACCTCAACCTCTAGCTCCTCCAGAGATGAGTCAATGTTGGGTGGATCAAGCCTCCACTATAAATTCATTTTTAGCATAGACTATCTGTCTTGGCCCAAGGTCTCCAGATAAACAAAGACACTCTTACAGGCAGGAAATTCCAAGGGCTTAGAGGCTACCACCCAGGAGGCCAGACAAAGGGCCAAGCCTTTTTCTGGTGCAGTTAACCCTTGACTGCACACACTGAGTGTTCATTCAATAAATAGAATGACCGACTACAGGATGAATAGATGAACAGAGACCAATTCCAAAATGAAGACGTATTTTTAAATGCCTTTTTCTGTGTTTTGGAGTACCTGTAGATTTCATACCAGCTTTCCCCCACTACCCTCTAAGATATAGAGGCTGCTTGCTGAGTTTCTCATGGCATAAATCCAGCTTTTAATTCCACCCATCAACTTATAGCATACTTTTCAAGCCCAGAATCACTATTGCTCAAGTGTATTGTACCAGATAATCACACTCAGCCCCCAGTGAATGTGCTGACTGCGGCGGGGGAGGAGCCGACAGATCAGCGTTGTTTCTGTGGAGTCTGTGAAATATTGATTGCTGTGGGGGAAAAACAGATAACACATTGCAAGAAGAATAGAATAATCACCCACAAACCCCTGGCTTTTAAACTAAAATCACTGTGAAGGAACAGCGAAGTGTGTTTTAAGGAGTTTTATCTACCCCTCTTCATCCTGAAGCAGCAGAAATAAGAACTCTGATGTTTACTCACTTGAAGTGCACTGGCTTTTCAATTAACGGACCAGAAGAGTTTGCAAAGACTATCAAAATACCAACTTTTCTGCAGGGAGTGAGCTGTGATGCCCAGACTAGGAGACAGACACTCTCCCTTTAGAAGCCCAACCTAATTTCAGTCTGGACTAGGACTTGTTGCTGTTTTCAGTCTGCAAAAATGAGGCCTAACTATGTAGATGATGAATGAAGGTTCGGTTGTCACTAAAAAGGGTACCAAGGCTCTGAGACAGGTCAGAGCTTAGACAACCAAAGCTCCTATTTGGCAAATATCTGACACTGTTGATGAGAGACTGGCTTGCTCGCTGGATGGAAATGCAGTCAATTTTCTTCTGAAACCTCTAAGCATTCTCCTTGATATCCACTGTTTCTGAAAAAATCATGTCGCGTTTACAGCTAAGAAAGAACCTACATATTCCGTAGAAAAGCAGGTAGCCTCTTTTAATGGGTAAGCCCAAAATATCAAAGTTGATGAAGCCATCAGCTCCGGCCTTTCTCCGTCTGTCATGCTTAGCATCCTCATTTCTTCCTATTCTACAATTACCAAACAAACCTCCTCCTGATTTGGCTGCCAAGGAACCTATAAGAACAGAGCGGTTCTCAAAGTTCACTCGCACTCAAATTGCCTGGTGGCCTTGTTCAAATACAGATTCCTAGGCCCCACCCCAAATTTTCCAGCTTAGTAGGTCTGGGCTCTGAGTTGGGCCCTCAAATTGTTCTTTTTTTTTTTTTTGAGATGGAGTCTCGCTCTGTCACCCAGGCTGGAGTGTAGTGGCGTGATCTTGGCCCACTGCAACCTCTACCTCCTGGGTTCCAGCGATTCTCCTGCCTCAGCCTCCTGAGTAGCTGCAATTGCAGGTGCCCACCAACACGCCCAGATAATTTTTTTTTGTATTTTTAGTAGGGACGGGATTTCACCATCTTGGTCAGGCTGGTCTCGAACTCCTGACCTCAGGCGATCTGCCAACCTTGGCCTCCCAAAGTGCTGGGATTACAGGAGTGAGCCACCATGCCTGGCCAAGTTGTTCACTTTTCATAGGTTCCAAGGTGATGCTAATATTGATGGTTGGGAACCACCTTCTGTGAACCACTATCTGAAAGAGTCATCAACATATCACGAGAAAGAAAATTCTACCCTTCTTAGAGTAGGACATAGTGCTACATAGAGTCTTGCCAAGGACTCATCCCATCCTTTAAAAACCCCCGTGGCATGGTTGGCATCCCAAAAGAGACAAAGGCCTCTTAAAAAGCGACAGGAAAACTGACAATGACGCAATGCCTGGGAAGTCAATCCTGGTCATTAGCAAGGCTTGGACTCAGCCTTGATCAAATCTTGATCAAACCAGGGAAAGGGCTGGTGCTCTCCCAACTGCAAATGCTGGGCTGGCAGGTGAGTGTTTAAGCCAAGGTTCAGCACTACGTTGTTCATGCTCTGGTCCAGACACTGGACAAGGGCCAGTGTCTCCTCATCCCACGAAGAGGTCGGGCCCCTCTTCCCCAGTCAGATGCCCGCCTTTCTGAGCTCTGTATGCTGCCCTGGACAGCAACGTGGAACGGAAACCACACCCCTGTTACCACGTGGATCTTCCAGTAAAAACCCAATATGATTAAAGACACAGACCAGGGCCTCAGGGAACACACTCCCCACTGGGGGTTTATCCCTCAAGCCTTGTCCTAGAAAGGGGCGTGGTCTACATACAGCTCATGACAACAGTGACATCCTCTCTCCTTTAGGACTAAATAAAGTGAAAAGAGAGGGGAAGGCTGGGCACAGTGGCTCACACTTGTAATCCCAACGCTTTGGGAGACCGAGGCAGGAGAATCATCTGAGGTCAGGTGCTCAAGACCAGCCTGGCCAACACAGTGAAACCACGTCTCTACTAAAAAATACAAAACTTAGCTGGGTGTGGTGGTGGGTGCCTGTAATCCCAGCTACTTCAGGAGGCTGAGGCAGGAGAATAGAATTGCTTGAACCTGGGAGGCAGAGGCTGCAGTGAGCTGAGATTGCACCATTGCACTCCAGCCTGGGCGACAAGAGCAAGGCTCTGTCTCAAAAAAAAAAAAAAAAAGAGAGACAGAGAGAGAGGGAAAAGCAGTACATTATTGAATTGATTGAATTGACACGTGCATTATACATTCTTCTATCTTAAACCCTGTACCCCAATCTCCCTAAATAGCTTCAACAACTATATTCCCTAATATATTAAAGAGTCAATTTCCTGTTCTAACATAGGAGCTTCACTTCTACTTTCATCTTGATCACCTACTTCCATAAAGCATTAAAACAACTCAAAATACTGGAGTTTCTTTTTCTAGAAGTCTGGCTCATTCTCGTGGGGTTGGGTTTCTGTTGAAGGTACTCTGAGAAACCACCGTCCAGCCAACTGGCTGGGAGGAAGTAGCCCAGATTGCTTGCATAGAGCCATGTCCAGCATCACTTAAATCGTCAGATTTATGAATATGTGGGCTCTATTCCTTGAATTACAAGCAAGTAAGTAATTGATGATGTTAACATAAAAAAAAAAAACTTTAGAAGGCTGCTCTCTTCTTCCTTAAGTGAATTACGAACTTGTTCCTAGGACATATTAGGAAGTAAACAGCATATAATCGCAGGGATTTACAGGGCAATTAGGTTAAGCACTGCAAAAGTGCATTAGTCTGACACTGCACAAACATTCTGATAACAGACAGATCAAGGCACTGGTCCAAATTGCTCCCCAGAGGGAAGCGTGCATTCACCTAGATCAGGCAGAACCATAATATTCATCAATCCCCAAACTCATGATCTCAGCTGCACCCCAGGAATCCAAAAAAATCTATGGCAGAATTCAAACCAGGATTGCTTGAGAAACATTAGACGCCTGCTTGCCTCACTGCCTTCCTTTCTTTTTCTTCCCTTCTTTATTTTTATTTTTGCATTTACCATGTGTCAGACCCTATCCGAAGCTCTCTCCACATAGTTTAATACTTAGAACATCCTATGAGGTAGGTACTGTAGTGTCTAGATTTTACTTTTAAGAAAACGAAGACATGGAAAGGGGACCTAACTTTCTTTAGCGAGATCAGCTAACTAGTGTATTTTTCATGGTAATTAACACTAGCTACCCTCAGTTTGCATGCGGATTCTGTCATTTGGGAAGAATTCCCTTATCTGTAAATGTCCACAGCTCTTGGCATTTTGAAAGGTTCTTCCTTTTGCTGTGATCCTCCTTGTCTACAACTGAAATGGGGGTTGTGGATATTTTTCCCAGTTACTTCCTTACTCATGGAAGCTTGGGGGCCCAAGGCATATTTTAAGTGTAAGTAGCTTAGCACAACAAACTTTTTCACTTAGAAGTCCAATGGACGTTGACTGGGGCTCTCCTCCATCCAGTGACTTAAGGATCCAGGCTCCCTCTACCTTGTAATGCCACCATCTCAACACAGGGCTTCCAGGTTCACTCCATCATGGGAGGACAGGAATGGAGGAGGCACCCTGATACTGAAGTGCCTTGAACTAGAGATAATTCATCATTGATGCTCACATTTCCATCCGCTACAATGTCATCTTGTGGCCTCAGCCCAATTGTAGGGAAAGTCTGGAGATGTAGGGGAGCACAGGGCTATTGGATGAGCATAAACCCTCAGCAAAGACTGTCTTCCAGCCCCTTCCCACACATTGAGGAATACACTTAACAGCTCCCATTCTGTTCCCACTAAGAGAAACATCCCCAAGTCTCATGCTCTCACTCCATCCAGCTCACAACGCAGACACTGGGCCGTGGCCGGTCGCAGTACCCTATGGAGGTGTGGCTCTTCATAGAAAGGAGACAACTGATCTCCACCCTAGACCCAACATGCAATGGTGGACCAAGGACAGAAGAAGGAAGATGCACTCATTTGCGAAAGGAGAGCTGGGGAGCACACAGCAGACCATGGGCTGTAACATCCATCACATTTCAATGACGGGCCCTGTAAGTTCTCCCTACACTGAGCATGGGGGTGTCCTTGTTCACTGGCTGATCTTACTAAGGGGAGGAATTCCCTGTCCATCACTGCCTGCGGCTCTTTTCTCTGCTCTCCTGCAGCTCTGCCCTTTCCATCCTCCCCCTTGTCAACATCCACAGTGGGTGTAGAGGAAGAAGGAACGCCTCCTGGCCAAGTTGCATAAATTCTGCAGCCTGCTTCTTGCTCCTGGACGCTTGGGGGACCAAGAATTGTTTCACATCTTAAGCAGTAAAAAAATAAAAATAAAAAATCCTGTTAAAACTGGGCTAATGATTTCTTCGACAGGGCAATTTCCTTAAAAGTGTAGTAACGTAGTAGACTTACTCTTACAGGCTTAAAGCTTAGTAACCTTAAAAACGTATTTGCTTCTGGTCTGTTCCATAATCTATTAATTATACCCAGAGTTCTTTTTAAAATATATATATATATATTTCTGAGACTCATCTTATTTCTTTGTTTATCAGTCCCATACTGCTCCCCAAAATGTGGGAAGACATGTTGTTAATTTGGCCCCAGGCAACTCATCTGATGTACGCTTAGTCTGACCTTTTGCCCCTGAATCAAAGACCTGGGCTTTTTGGAAGGCAGAGGTTGCAGTGAGCCGAGATCACGCCACTGTACTCCAGCCTGGCGACAGAGCGAGACTCCGTCTCCAACAAACGGACAAACAAAAAAAGACCTGGACTTTTGTTGCCCAAAGGTTTTGTCAATCTAATATTTTAACATTTCATGTCTAGACAAAGTCTGTTTTTCAACTTTGTAAGGCCCTGAATTTCAGAAATCCCTCTATCCCTCATTTCCTCTTGCAAACACAATTCCGTCCTGAGCCCATCTGTTCTATTTAATAACTTGCCAAACATAAAATACTAACATTCTGATATTAAACCTTTTTTCCTAGAACTACGAGTTGGTTAGGCACAGGGTCCCAGTTGGTTAGACACATTTCAGGAAACAGCTCACCCCGTCACTTTGGCACGTAACTGCCAAGTCACTGCCTTGGTTTAGGTTTTTTTTTAGAAAGCACCTGACTTCTATTATCAATTTCTTAATTTGTCTGGTAATTTAACCTAAATATTATAAGAGATAAACCCCGAATTCCTGCATTGTAACAAAGGTCTCATGTAAGTTGATGGAGCCGCTCCTCTATCCACTGTCTCCTGGATCTGCTCCATCCTCATGCAAACAGAGAATGACAGACACTCTCGTCTCAACAGGGCGTCTTCCCCATTTGCTGTGATTGGGGAAGATAAGACTGGAGAAGGCACACCCATTCTGTCGTGCCCAGGCCCAGCAGCAATATGTCATTTTTGTTCACATCGCTGCTTGACAGAACTCAGTCACATGACCCCAGTTTAAACTATGCAGGAGGCTGCAAATGTCAGGAAGCATACGGATGTGGCTAGTGGGTGTGCCATCGCAGCAACTTCTAGGGAATTGAAAAGTCAGCATCAGAACCGAGAGGACTGTCTCCAGCACCCAGAAGACTGGCTCGAGAACCCAGGCAACTGTCTCCAGAACCCAGGGGACTGTCTCCAGAACCAAGGTGACTGTCTCCAGAACCAAGGTGACTGTCTCCAGAACCCAGAGGACTGTCTGCAGAACCCAGGGGACTGTCTGCAGAACCCAGGGGATCGGCTCCAGAACCCAACCAGCTCCAGAACCCAGGGGACTGTCTGCAGAACCCAGGAGACTGGCTCCAGAACCCAGAGTACTGTCTGCAGAATCCAGGCAACTGTCTCCAGAACGCAGGGGACTGACTCCAGAACCCGGGGGACTGGCTGTAGAACCCAGGCGACTGACTCCAGAACCCAGGTGACTGTCTCCATCACCTAGGCAACTATCTCCAGAACCCAAGGGACTGTCTCCAGGACCCAGGTGACTGTCTCCATAACCTAGGCGACTGTCTCCAGAACCCAGGGTACTGTCTGGAGAACCCAGGTGACTATCTCCAGAACCCAGGGGACTGGCTCCAGAACCCATGCTCTTGAACCCTCTATCAGTGAGGACTGCACTTGTTGCAAACAGCAGAAACCTAAGTAAAGTGGCTTAACCAAAGAGGGACTGATTTTTCTCACATCATTGGATGTCCAGAAGTAAGCTGTTTCTGAGATAGTTCCCATAGCTCAGTGAGCTCAAGGCCAGAGGGACTGATGCCCTGCTGCAAAGAGGACGGGAAGGTGGGTGAACTCTTAGTCATGAATGGCCTGGGTCACCCTGAGTTCATTTGCAAAGGAGAAAGATAATGGAATGCTTAATAACCAAGAGGGTCAGATGCAATCACTCTGCTATAATCCCTCTTAGTTCAAACAGTTCTGTCTGGAGTTTAAATCCCAATCACTAATATCTCTGAAGTATCTTTGCCATAGCGAACGGCAGTCCAAAATTCTTCAAGGAAGAAGCAAAATCTGATCCACTAGTTACAAACTCAGATGTCTACAGAGTCCAGATAAACAGAAGAAATGAGTGAAACCAGGCTGGGCGGGGACTGTGGAAAACGAAGACCCACACACACACGCCCCGCCTAACCACAGCAGCAGCTGTAAGTCACAGCCATGCACACCGGGGAATTCCAGCTCTCCCCGGAATCCAAATGATATGAGAAATGTGGATTTCATGTGATACATCTTGATTCTTAAAAGCTAGCCATGTCTAGTTAATTTTAATGTGCAGGGCAAACTAAATACCTCTCTTTGCCCTGAGAATCTTCCATTTCTAACCTCTAACTGAATCAATACATCTACCCTGGCCCCTGCATTCCGGTATTTATATCTCTTGTAATCAGAAGCACACTTGAATAAATGTCTCATGGATTCAATGACAATAAGCTCCCCTGACATACAATGTTACCTAACAGCGTATTATATGGCAACACAATAGCCATCGTGAGATTGGACACTGCTATCTACTGTCACAGGGCACAAACACAGAACAGGGAAATTTGGATTCTGTCTGGAAATGATACACTGAATTATTTCACTCCTAGGCAGGCTCTAGAACAGGGAAATGTGGATTTTGTCTGGGGATGAATCACTGAATTATTTCACCTCTAGGCAGACTCTGGAGTCCACAGCAACCTCATCATCAGGGATGAATCTTCCGTCAAGCTCACTTCTCCCAATATCTGGCCGTTTGTTTAGGTGAAAGGTTACAAAAGGAGGGTTTTCAGTTCATCGTCACAGATATGGTGACTTTGGCTCAGAAATAGCTTAATTTATAATTACATTTAAATTATATAAAAAAAAAAGTACGGCCGTGAGACCAGGCATGGTGGCTCACACCTGTAATCCCAGCACTTTGGGAGGCCAGTGTGAGAGGATTGTTCGAGCCCAGGAGTTTGGGATCAGCATGGGCAATATAGTGAGACCCCATCTCAAAAAAAAAAAAAAAAGAACAAAAAAACTAAAGAAAAATTAGCTGGGTGTGGTGGTGTATGCCTGTTGTCCCAGCTACTTGGGAGGCCAGGGTGGGAGGATCACTTGAGTCCAGGAGGTCGAGGCTGCCGTGGGTTGTGATCATGCCACAGCCTGGATGACAGAGCAAGACTCTGTCTCAATAAAATAATTAAAACAAAACAAAACAAAACAAAATAAAATAAAATAAAATAAAATAAAATAAAATAAAATAAAATAAAATAAGATAGCTGTGAGAACACAGACTTGCTACCCCCGTCCCAGAGCCAGAACTGGCTTGAGTTGAGTGGCAGCTCCTCTCTTCTCTACTGGCCCCTCCTACATTCCTGTCACCTGCCTGGCCCAGGGAGGCATTCAGATGTGCAATGGCTGGTTTGAAGAAACAGACCACTAAGCAAAGTCAACCATTACAAAACAGGAGAAACAAAACAACACATTAGAAAACAAGAGGCTGAGGCTGGGACACTTTTATTCTACTTCCTTGTTTGGTGGGTAAATACAGAAGAGAGCCAAAATTATAGTTTCACTATAAATGGGATAGATGCCATAATGCCAGAAAACCTGCATGCTGAGACTCACAATGAATTAAGTGAAAGTTGAAGAAGTTGCGGTAGCCTTCAGCCATTTCTGATGCATCAGCGCCCCAATCTCATCATTCAGTATTTGCTTACATGAAACCCAAGGCAGACTGGCATGGAACCAGAGGAGGAATAGATATTATCGGGAGAGGGACACCATGACTGAGGGGTCTTTGGCCTTCTTTTTCATTGAGGGGCACAGTGGTGTGGTTGTATTTGCTGATATGAGAGATGACATTATAGACTTAATTATTGATATGGTTTGGCTGTGTTCCCACCCAAATCTCATCTTGAATTACAGTTCTCATAATCCCCATGTATCGTGGGAGGGACCCAGTGGGAGGAAATTGAATCATGAGGGTGGTTACCCCCATGCTGCTATTCTTGTGATAGTGAGTGAATTCTCACAAGATCTGATGGTTTCATAAGGGACTTTTCCCTCTTTTGTTCGGCACTTCTCCTTGCTGCCGCCATGTGAAGAAGGACGTGTCTGCTTCCCCTTCCATTATGATTGTAAGTTTCCTGAGGCCTCCCCAGCCCTGCTGAACTGTGAGTCAATTAAACCTCTTTCCTTCATAAAGTACCCAGTCTCGGGTACGTCTTCATTAGCAGCGTGAGAATGGACTAACACAATTATGTGCATTGTGTTTTTTGTTATTGTTGAAGTTTGTTCTGTATGAGCAAAAGCTGATGTAAGGAGGCTGAGTAGACAAGGAGATGAAGAACACTGGATTTTGTCGCTGTTGTATATTTGTTTGTGGGTTTTTGTTTCATTTTGTTTTTTGTTTTTTGCATGCATCATTCATGTTCCCTACTTTTGTCTTCCCCAAATCAGCAGGGCTGAAGGCCAGGCAGTGCATTTCTCAGACTCCTGTACTGCCAGAGTTCTGAAAGCAATTTTTATTTTGTCCTTGAGATGCACTCACAAAGAATTTTCTGAATCCCATGGGTGTGAGTGAAGCCTGCAGGTGAGAACTGATGGAGAAAACAAGGCCATGGTACCAACGATTCAGAACCACTGGCTTTGCTTACAAAGGTTAATGGAAAATGAAGAATGGAAAATAATTAAAGGATCCTAAAAACAGAAACCCTAGCCACCTGACTTGGTTGAGTGACAGACATTCCCAGGAAGGTCTTCTCCCACCTACTCAACCCAGTTGTTGTCTCAGGCCTCAGCTTCTCACTTCACCTCCCTGTACCCCAGCTGTTCATCCATGAGATGGTGTCTTAGTCCATTCTGCCCACTTTAACAGAATGCCACAGACTTGGTAGCTCATAAACAACAGAAATGTCTTACTGTTCCGGGGGCTGGAAGTTTCAGATGTGGCAGATCTTGTATATACCATTCCTGAGGGGTCTTGAGGCTTCTTTTTCATTGAAAGGAGCAGCAGTGCGGTTCTATTTGTTGATGCGAGAGATGGAGTCACAGGTGCCATCGATGAACCAGGAGATAAAGTCAAGGTGCTGTCAACGGTGCCTCACACCAGAGGACCTGCTTCCTGGTTCATCAATGTCATCTTCTCACTGCATCCTCTCCTGGTGGAAGGGGGCAGCATCTCTCTGATGCCTCTTTTCATAAGGGCACTAATCCCATTCATGAGGTTCCACCCTCATAATCTAATCACCTCCCAGGGGCCCCGCCACCTAATACATGGGGGTTAATATGAATACTAGGGGGATGCATATATTCAAGACACAGCAGATGGGAATGTGGCTTTGGAAGCAGACTGGCCTCATTTCAGATCTCAAGTCTGATGCTTTCTGGTACCTCGTAGCTCTGTGGCCTCGACATCGGCACTTCACTTGCCTGTGCTTTCACTTCCCAATCCGTGAAATGAAGAAAGCCACAGCTAGTGGGCAGTGTTATGAGGACCAGAGACAACCTAGGGAGCCTGCTAAACACAGAGCCTGGAGGCGTAAAATTTAATTACATAAGCCAACGTGAAATGCCATGAATATAAATGTTACAGATGCGAGGGTCCTATTCCAGTAAGTTTTTAAAAAGATTGTGTGCTCACTTGCTAATCTCTGGACCCAAAATTGTGAGGGTTTTGTTTTTGCTATGTTTTAGAAAATCATAATATCTAAAATCATTCTTAAATTATTAAAGCAAAATAATAATGAGGTCAGAGTAGTAATGCTTCAGCCATCATACCAACATCAGAAAGCAATTGGAACCCTATTCTCTGACAAAATTTACCTGATGTGTTTGTTCGCTTAACAGACATTGCTTTTGCACTATGGTTTTGTACTAGTCAATGTTCCATCCCATGGTTTGGCAAACCTTTTCTGTAAAAGTTGAGTTACTATATTTGGCTTTGTAGACTATATGTTCTCTTAAAACTACTCATTTCTACTACAGATAACCTTCAAAAACCAGAAGAGAAGAGGAATCAAATAGTGAGAATCAAATTCCTTAAAAATTGTACAGCCTTCTGATAAAGTCACTGTGTATTTAAATTATTTAAAATGCACATCTATGTACATACATACAAATACATACTGTGAACCCAAAAGTATTTGAGACAGGTCAGGATCAAATTAGGACATTTATTTTGCCAAGATAAAGGATGTGTCTGTGACATAGCCTCAGGAGGTCCTGACATGTGCCCAAGGCGGTTGGGTACAGCTTGCTTTTATATACTTTAGGAAGACAGAAGACATCAATCTCTACATGTAAGATTTACATTGGTTCGATCTGGAAGGGCAGGACAACTCGAAGCGGGGGCTGCCTGGTCATAGGTGGATTAAAAACTTTCTGATTGGCAATGGGTTGAAAGAGTTGTTATCAGCAGAAAGGAATAACTGGGTTGAGATAAGGGGTTGTGAAGACCAAGGTTTTTTATCATGCAGGTGAAGCCTCCAAATAGCAGGCTTTAGAGAGAATCGATTGTAAATGTTTCTTATCAGACTTAAGGTCAGAGTTGAGGTTAATGCTGGAGGGGATAATGAGGCATGTCCCACCCCTTCTTCCATCATAGCCTAAAATCGATTTTCAGGTTAACTCTGAAATGCCCTTGGCCAAGAGGAGAGGTCCATTCAGATGGTCGAGGGGCCTTCGAATTTTATTTTTGGTGTACAATGCATACATACGCTCAGGAAGAGAATCGATCTGCATCCCTGTTGAAATTCTCTGATAAAAATGGTGCTCTAAAAGGGACAGGTTTTATCACACTGTGATAGCAGAGATCCCCACAGTGCTTTAAATGCATGTGCAGAAATGTCCCTGCCAATGAACGACTTATGACCTAATTAAATATGGGAACACTTAGCCAATTTCCCTATGTCTACATAATTTTCCAAGCTGTCCCTATTCCTAAGGGATTCATTTGTCTCGGGTTATCCACTGGCTCCCCCAGCCCCACCACCCATTTGATTTTTTAACTTCCGCCAAATTGCCTTCATTTAAACTCAATTAACTTTTAACAGAAAAGGTATCACTGTAATCCCATTTGCAGAACTAAATTCTTTTAATGTCCCCATTATAAATTCCTGTTTCCAGTGTTTCAAACATGAGGATCATCTGACATTTGGTTTAAAGGTCTCAATCAGGAGTGTTAATGAAACTCGTTAAACAACACTTCTTTGACTCACACCGAATTTCAGTAATCATTTTCTTCTTAAATATCATCAGAAATAGTTTAAAAGGACATTTCATTTTGCAATTGAGTGTATTATCCTAACAGAACAGGAGCATTCAGGATATGAAAACCAGAGCTTGTCTCTAGAAAGTCATCCAGAATGAGTCCTATTAGGTTACAATACCCTAACCACGGCCCAAAGCCACGCAGCCCAGGTCAGCAGTGTGTCTAAACCATACACATCAATTTCTGCTTCTGTCCCTAAACCTGCTCATCCTCCAAGTGATCCACGGGTTGCTGTCACCACATCGCCAGGGCCATCTTCGATTCTGCACATCCTTTCAAGTCCAAAAGCAGGCTGAAGCTGGCAACTCAACTTGGAAGGTCACCACAGCCACTGCTCTGCCCAAGCTCTGTCTCCTGGAGGCTGGAATTACCGTGGCAGCCACTTCCCTGCTCTTGGGCTTTTGCTTTTGCCCTTGCTAGTGTATTCTCCACACAGAAGCCAAAGACCTCCTTCAAAAATATGTCAGGCCTGCAGAAGCAGTGGCTCAGGCCTGCAATCCCAGCACTTTGGGATGCTGAGGTGGGAGGATCCCTTGATCCCAGGAGTTCGAGGCCAGCCTGGACAACATGGCAAAAGCCCATCTCTGATAAAAGTACAAAACCTAGCTGGGTATGGTGGCACATGCCTGTAATCCTAGCTGCTCGGGAGGCTGAAACTTGAGAATCACTTGAACCCGGGAGGCGGAGGTTGCAGTCAGCTAAGATTGGGCCACTGCACTCCAGCCTGGGTGACAGAGTGAGACCCTGTCTAAAGAAAATGTGGTACATATACACCATGGAATACTATGCAGCCATTAAAAGGAACAAGATCATGTCCTTTGCAGGGACATGGATGGAGCTGGAAGCCACCGTCCTCAGCAAACTAATGCAGGAAGAGAAAACCAAACACCACATGTTCTCACTTAAAAGTGGGAGCTGAACGATGAGAACAGATGGACACATGGGGGAGAAAAACACACACTGGGGCCCTCTTGGGGGATGAGGAAGAGGAAGGGAAAGCATTAGAAAAACTAGCTGATGCACACTGGGGTTAATACCTAGGCGATGGGTTCATAGGCACAGCAAACCACCGTGGCACACGTTTACCTATGTAACAAATCTGCACATCCTGCACATGTATTCCAGAACTTAAAACAAAAATAAAAATAAAAAATAAAGAAGTCAGGTCACATCATGCCCAGATCCAAGCCCGCAGTGTCTTCCCACGTGGTTCCAAGTGGAGGTTGACACCCCTCCATGGCTTTGGTGACCTTCAGTGTTTCTGGCACTCCCACTCCTCTGACCACCATCCCCCATATCCTTCCTCATCTCAGAACAAACACTGTACTTTCTAGAAGGCACCAAGCACACTCAGGCTCCATCTTTGCCATGGCTGTGCGCTCTGCATAGTGTGCCCTTCCTGATTGTCCCTCTCTCCCTTCCAGCTCTCTGTTCCAGGGGGCCTTCCTGCCCAAACAGCACCCGACTGTCCCCACCTGCCATCACCCTGGCCCTCTCATGCTGCCACGATGCTCTCTGGGGAGCTCAGCACCGCCACCCTCCCCCTGCCCCCACTGCCACATGTTGTCTATTCATGCACATTTCTCCTCTCTCTCCACTAGAACGTACACTTGAGGCCAAGACTTTGTCTCTTTACTCACTGCCATATCCCCACTGGCCAAAATGCTGTGCTTGCACCACCGATGCACCCAGTGAATGTTTGATATTAACATTCTCTCCCCACTCCTCTGCCTTGGTGTCCAAATAAAGTGAGTGAATGCTTAGGAAGTGCTAGAGAGTGAGGCAGGTGGTGTCCCAGAGCTTTAAAAGAGCGACATGTTAACTATTCCAACCATTATGCCAGCCTGGTCAATTAACACACTACATCTTCCAGTGGAGGTAGGTACTATCACTATCTCCAACAAAGAGTCTGAGGCACAGAGAGGCTAAATGACTTGCTCAGAGACACACAGCTGTTTACCTGAGGCAGGTTTCGAACCCAGGTGGTCTGGGACTAGAGCCCCAGTGCGGGTGAAACCACCTCCCTTTATGGATGCTCTTCCTTCAAGTTTTTCTTCCTTCTTTTCTCCTTCCTTCCTTCCTGTTACGTCTATGCTATGGTCTGTTCTCTCCCTAGCGCCCATTTGATTTTGGAAAAGGAGAGAAGGTTGTGCTCCTCTCTGGAGGGAAACCCTCAAGTGTTACCCAGTCTCAGTGAGGCAACTTCCTTTCGCAAAAAGAGCCTCAGTAGGTACGTGGGGGAACTCTCTCTTCTCAGAGACACACATAAAATCCAGGGAAAGTGGAAATGGTTGAAACAATAAGTGAATCGTTAGGCCACACAAAGTCTGCATTTCGAAACGGATGAAAAAGCAGAAGCCAGCAAGAGTCCACAAGCCCCACTCGTCCACTAGCCCCACAGGCATAATCTGGAGAGACCAGGGAGCTTCGGTGTGGGCGATGACGAGAAGATGACGTTGCTGTAATCGGCACCGACAGTGGGCGCGTATGGGGCAGTCAGCACGCAGGAGGGGCTCTTACGCCTTGGCAAGGGTCACTAGGGAATCCTTGGATATCTAATATATAATGCAAGAAATTGAAATGTGGATAAATTTTGGGGAACGTATACCTAGGTAGAGGTTCAAGGAAAAGTCCAGCTGACCGACTATATCCTACATCCTAGCCAGATCTAACTTCTCTACATATAGAAAAGTCCAGGTCACCACTCACCTCCCCCAGGAATATGTCCGTAACTATATCAGCAAACAGGGCTTTCCCTCTGCTCTGAACTCTACTATATGGTGTTATACAAGCCGGAGCTCTTTTCTGTTTCTGCAGTGCAGACATGCTTGGTTTCATCTACGTAGAACCTGGCGGGGACCATCCACTTCTTTTCCATGTGGTCCCAAAGGGGCTGTCAATCATAGTGCCCTTCCCACCAGCCACAGGAGTGATCATGTGACTTTGGGTGGCCAATTAGAGTGACCCATTGTCATTGCCATGGTGATTGGTTCATACATGGGCAAATGAGCCAATCAAGGATGCTAAGATCCCTCCTTTAAACTCTCAGTTAAAGCTAGTGTGGTAAACCTGGTTTTGGCTAATGGGGGAATACAAATTGGGGCTGGAGGTGGCATCTCTCCAGATACGAGGTAATGTAAGTTCATCCGCAATAGAAGAAAATGGGAATAACACATAGAGGAAATCAGAGCTGAGAGGGAGGGGGAAGGGGAGAGAGAGATGGAGAGAAAGAGACTGAGATTTCTAAGGATAGCATTGGATTCATGGGATTTACTTGTCCCTGAAGCAAGGAGCATGCTTTTTGCTTAAACCAGTCGGATTTGAGTTTTCTCTCACAGATAATATGTAACAACAACCAACTACCTTAACTACACATTTTATTTAGCACTTTTTGTTACTGTGTTGTTCCTCTGGGTGAATTCTTTGCTTTTTATTTTGTATTTTATTTCAATAGCTTTAGGGGTACAGTGGTTTTTTGGTGACATAGATGAATTATATAGTGGTGAAGGCTGGGCTTTCACTGGACCTGTCACCCAAAGAGTGTGCAGTGTACCCAGTAGGTGATTTTTGTATCCTTCATCCACCCTCCCCTCTTCTGAGTCTCTAATGTCCATTATACCACTCTCTATGACTTTGCATACCCATAACTTAGCTCCCACTTGTAAGTGAGAACATGTGGTACTTGGTTTTCCATTCTTCACTCAGGATAATGGTCTCCAGTTCCATCTAAGTTGCTGCAAAAGACATTATTTCATTACTTTTTTATGGCTGAGTAGTATTCCATGGTGTGTGTGTGTATGTGTGTATATATATATACATATATATACACATATATATACATATATACATATATATACATACATATGCATATATATACATACATATATACATATATATACACATATATATACACACATATATATACACATATATATATATTCCACATTTTCTTTACCTACTTATCAGTTGATGGACACTTAAGTTGATTCCATATCTTGGCAATTGTGAATTGTGCTGCAATAAACATACACATGCCAGTGTCTTTATTATATAATGATTTATTTTCCTTTGGATAGATACCCAGTAGTGGGATTGCTGGACAGTCGAGAAACTCACAATACACTTTTGTATAACTCTCCATCTTAACCCTAGCGCACAGCACAATGTCATGCCTATAGGCCATTCCTAAATCAAATATTTGGTTGAATAATACATGAGTGACTTAGTCATATCCCCTGCCTTTGTTTATCTTGTGTTGCTGGGAAAACTATAGAGCAGAGACTACATAAGTCTCTCTGATCTGCATGTATTATAATCTACCTTAGCTAATTATCACTTGACGAATACATAAGCTGTTTACACTTTTTCACTATTTCAATACTGTTGTGGATATCCATCTCCATGTCTTTTAGGAGTCCAATGCAAAAGCTTCTCTTTAAGAATGAATAATAAAAGGGTCAGAGGGGCTGCGTGCCTTCAACTTTCTTCAGAGACCCGGCAGAACAAAACTGGGACCCCCAAATGGGACAATTGTGAAGACTTTTATGAAGAGCCAATTCAAAGACATGTGAGTGGAACAAAGAAGAACCAGTGAGGGCCAATGAGTCATCCCCAGGTTAGGAGCTGTGTGGGACCCAGAGGAGCTTGGGGAGATAATGGTCATCAGAGCTCAGCTGGACCAGCAGGACAAGACCACTGCAGACAGCACAGTGGCATCCAGTGAAGACTGCAGCCACTGTCAGCCCACGCCAATGAGGAAGGAGATGGGCAGACACCCAGTGCTCACCTTCCTCTGCCTTCTGATCTCCTGCCAGTGCCTCCCATGGGCTGAAAGCCCCAGAAACCAGACAGCAAAAGAGTCCATGCTGTGCTCCATGCAGGTCAGCCTGTCAGGCACAGGGCAGAGTGAACCAGACAGCAAGGCAGTCCATGCTGTGCTCCATGCAGGCCAGCCTCTCAGGCACAGGGCAGAGTGAACCAGACAGCAAGGCAGTCCATGCTGTGCTCCATGCAGGTCAGCCTCTCAGGCACAGGGCAGAGTGGAGAAGGCATCTGGAGGCACAAATGGGGAGTCCCCTCCAGATGCCTCTGGGAAGCTGCAGTGATTCCCTCTGGCGACGTGTGAGCGTTTCCATTGCTCCACACCTCACAACACTCAACATTATTGCTGGCTTGACAGATGCCTTCACATTTTTCAACCTGATTGGCATGGCTACTGCCTCACTGTGCAGGTAATTTTCCATGTGTCCCTGATCATTCCTAAAATTCCTCATCCGTTCAGTCTCATTGGCTCTCCCAGGGCCCTCTCTGAGCTTGCCTATTCATACCTTTTACCCATTTTCCTTTTGGTATTGATACTTTTTCATTCATTTTTAAGAGGTCTCTACATTTTCTCGATACTACTTAGCCATTCTTTTCAATATCATCAAGTTACGGCACAGGTACCCAACATTTTTGTAAGTTTCAAGAAAAAGACACAAAACCTAATTTTCTCAAATAAAGTGACATTATTCTTTTAATCTGTTTTCCCTCTTTACAAAGTATTGTTCTTTCTTCCACCTTTGGCACCTGCACACCAAAAGGTTTGTTTTCATCATTTCCATACCCAGGGGAGCTGGGAAAGTGTAAAATAAAACCTCCTGAAGCCCAGAATTTTTCTCCTGGACTGACATGTTCACTAGCTCTGGTCTCCCCAATACGAGACACTTTCATTGCTCTAGGCTGACGATATGCTCACAGTTTTTACAGGCTGTTTCAGTGCACAGACCAGCAAAACAACTACTGTGTCTCTGACAGAGTGTGGATGAGATCTGTAACGCTTTAGGAATACTAGTCAAACATGAGGCATTTCAAAGGAAGCCCTGCACAGCACTTGCATTATTTAAAGGCAGGATTTATTACCTTCAACACAATTTGTCACTTTATACTTGTAGGATTTTTTTAAACTCCCTAATCTGTGTGGTTGCATTTAAATAATGCCCACTCAGAGGGGGTATGTGTAAAGTCTCAATTTAGGATGTTTACTGTTGATGGCTGCTGTCAAAAATTAGATACACAATTCAGTCCAACTTTAAACAACGTCACGTGTATGACTCTTCTTCAATTTAAGGTTTAAAAGCATAGAATTCACAGTAGCAGCAGGTGGCATACGGCTATTAGAAGCATAGTAACTGACAGTTGTTTTCCAATTGTGTCTTCTGGAAATCTTGTTCCTAATAGAATTTTAATTGGTGTTGAGCTGGGAAAAAAAAAAAAGCTCCACGGTCTATTAATTTTGAAAAACACTGGATCAATAAAGCTCAGCAGGTTCTTCTCTGCTCAACTTCTCAGAGCCTTTACTGGTCCCAGGCTTTGGGAATCTCCAGGAGGAAGATAAGGAATGCACTATTCTCCAAACTTATTTAATGCTAACTTGTTTGTTTTTGTTCGTGAAACCCTTAATATCCCAAAGAACATAATCGAAGACAGGATGTGCAATTTTCCCAGGATTTAGGAATATAAATACTTAAACCAAGTTTTAGACTATTTTGGAAGAAAACATCAACATTCAACAGGCTTGTGTGTACAGTATTTGCATACTACTCAATTGTACTTTTTTTCTACTTTTATGTGCCAATTTTTTTTTTCTGAGATGGAGTCTCGCTCTGTTGCCCAGGCTGGAGTGCAGTGGCACAATCTCAGCTCACTGCAACCTCTGCTTTCCAGGTTCAAGCGATTCTCCTACCTCAGACTCCCGAGTAGCTGCGATTACAGGCACCTGCCACCATGCCCCACTAATTTTGTATTTTTAGTAGAGACGGGGTTTCACCATGTTGGCTAGTCTGGTCTCAACTCCTGCCCTCAAGTGATCCGCCCTCCTCAGCCCCCATAAGTGCTGGAATTACATGCGTGAGCCACCAGGCCGGCCTAGTGCAACATTTATTATGGCAATTGTTAAATTGGCTAATGTTTTTTATTTTTAATTTTCTCATGGCTTTTATTAGGGAGCTATCCTCATCACTAAGGTTTCTGGAACTAAAAGAGCAGTATCCATGGCCCCAAAGTCCATCGACTTGTAAGGTCAGCCAAGTCAGCGTTGGCTAAGACTGATTTTTAATGTGGATACTCTACTTCTTGGCACTCAGAACCACCTGTTTCAAAAAAGGAGGACGATATGCAATGAAGAATTGGAAAAGGAAGCATATTACGTTAGTGATTGTGACTAGTGTGACAGGATCAAGCCAGCACAGGTGAATTGAGACGATGGCATCACTACACCCAAAATACGAGATCTTACACCATCTTTACACATGACGAGAACTAGGCAAGAGAGCAGTTCACCTGACCTCCCCAAACAGTCATGCACTGCACAAGGACATTTCAGCTAACCACAGACCGCCTATATGATGGTGCTCACATACGAATCATGTAAGAATATAATACCATATTTTGACTGTACATTTTCTATGCTTACACATGGAAATATTTACCACTGTGTTACAATTTCCTGCCATATTCAGTACAGTAACACGATGCACAGGTTTGTAGCCTAGGAGCAATAGGCTATACCATATAGAGTAGGTGTGTAGTAGACTGGAACAGCTAGGCTTGTGTAAGTATACTCCGTGATGTCTGCACATCAATGAAACCACATTTCTCAGAGTATGTCCCATCCTTAAGTGACCCTGACTGTATACAAAGTATCCCATAAAGCTGCTGAACACCAATGGGAGAAACCAGAAACCTTTTTTTTAGAGAATAAAAACTAACATATACACACAATATATACACACTAATATATACACAAGTATATACACTTACTATGTTACCCACAAAAATAAGAAAATAAGAAAAATAAAATTTAAAAATAATAATTTAGACCAGGCATGATGGCTCCTGCCTGTAATCCTAGCACTTTGGGAAGCCAAGGCCAGGTGATCGCTTGAGCTCAGGAGTTCAAGACCAACCTGGGCAACATGGCAAAACCTGTCTCTACAGAAAATAAAAAAAATTAGCCGGGCGTGGTGGCGCATGCCTGGAGATCCAGCTACTTTCAGGGCTGAAGTGGAATGATTGCTTGAGCCCAGGGGGTCAAGGCTGCAGTGAGCTGAGATCGCATCACTGTACTCCAGCCTGCGTGACAAAGTGAGATCTTGTCTCCAAAAAACAGTAATTTATATCACACAAAAGATTTCCGATAAGAGGAGGAATAACACATTATTATTGCAAGTGTTTTAAGACTAAATTGTAATTTTGGATTATTATTCATTTTGTTGATAAAATTCACTAGAAATCATTTGGTAAATGAGAGAAAATTTCAATAAAGCAAGTGTTAAGTAATGAATATTTAACAAGAATATCACATGTGTTCCCAGAGGACTGTGGAAAGATCATGACTTTAGAATGTGTACTTCCAGCAATTTCAGAAAACCTTGATTAGAAAGAAAAGAAATTGGTGGTTGCTACTTCTATCAGCCATAGGTTGTGTGCTGAGTTTCTGAGTGACAGATCCAAGGCAGAGCAGGGCAATGTCACAGGAGGCAGGAGGGATGGGTGCATGAAACCCTGTTCAGCCAGGACACCTGGGATGTCTCGGCAGGGGCGGAGGTGTCTGTATCAGGGACGTGTCTGTACCCTGCTGACCATTAGGCAGGAAGGCTTGCCCAGACATTCTCTTGCTTCTTCTTCATTCCACAAATAAACACAGAACACTACTATGTGCTGGGAACTCTGCTAGACTTTGGGGATTCCACAGTAAACCAGACAGACACAGCCCCCACCTTTGCTGAACACATTGCCTCATCGGGGAATCATTCAGTGGACAAGGAGAGAAATGAACAAATAAGGTAACTGTAGAACATGGTAAATGTTACTAAGGAAAAGCACAGTGTGGGGATACTCAGTGTGATGGCCATGTCTGTCTCCCTCTCTCATCTTCCCATGACCATCTTCCTACATACCTGCTGCTTTTAGAATAAAGCCAGAATCCCTTACCATGTGGCTTGGCTTCCACCACCTTGCTATCCTCATCAGTTTCCTGTCCTTCTCCTACTCTGTCTCCCTCCCTCTCCCCATCTTCCTTCCTTCATTTCTATCTCTCTTTCTCTCTCTCTCCTCTCTTTCTCTCTCATGTCTTTTTCTCTGTTTCTCATTTCTCTCTGCCCCTCTGTCTCTCTCTCTCTCCATCTTTACCTGGTTCTCTCCCTCTATCCCTTCTCTCCCTCCATCTGTATGCCCCTTTCTCCCTCTACCCAAGACTTACCCACCTTCGTGCCACCCTTGGCTCTCACCACCTGCCTTCTACCATGGTGCCTTTGCACCTGCCACTCCCTCCATCTGGGATATTCCCTCCTATCCCCTCACTGGCCTCTACTTCTCTTCCAGATCCTGTTTGCAGCATCCCTGCCCTTGGGAAACTCCTCTGTCCGGCCCATCTGCAGACCCTACTCCACATTATCAGAGCCCCAGCTAATGCTCCCTGGTGGCACTTTCCAGAATTATAATCTTATCTTCAAGATTTTTATTCACCATCTCTGTTTTTGCTCATCATTTCAGCCCCAGCATCTAGTCCAGTGTCTGACAGAGTTATACTCAACAGAGATTTCAGAAATGAATCTTTCAAAGCTCAGTTGAAATGCTTTCTCCAGAAAATATTCTCCACCCTCCCCACCTAGGAGGCATCTTCCTTGATCCCATCTCGGTTTAACTCTGCCTCTCCCATGATGTCCGTCTTCCACATTCTTCCATAGAGTTACCGATCTTCAAGTGTTTCATTTCTTATTACTTTATTCGTGGTGTTGCATTTTACTTAGGATTTAGGCCCAACAGTTAATGCCTAATAATAAAAAAAAAAAACTATACAAACAAACACCATCCGTGAAAATCCCCCGGACAGCCAATAAGCTCAGTATGCATGACCTTGTATACAAACCTTTGTGTACACTGTTTCTTGATATGGCCATTATGAAGGAGTTTTGTGGTGGCTGCCACATGACCTAGCTTGGCTTGTGTTTGGCACCTGATTTATATCTTTAAAGTAGCACACAGAGTTGAATTTGTGTAGTCAAATGTGGATCTGGTAAAATTATAATCTATTACTCAAGATCAAGATGTGCTTCTGTTTTATCTTTGAATTGAGCCAGCACTTGAAAAGGAGCTTTGCAGGTAGCAGGAAGTTGATTCATATCTGCTGGATGGCTGGTTCCATTGTTGTTGTTGTTAAATGGCATATGTGAATACAAAACAGACACACAAAAAGAACTTGCACATGACCTCCACATGTAGATTTTCCAGATATCCCAGCTGGCCTGGAACCCCTGGTTCACTCTATTCTCTTGTCAGAAAAACAGGAGCTGTCCACTTTCATTTATAAGAGCTCCAGTATGGAACCTAAGTTATATGTCACGTGTGTGTTTGAGAAAAACAGGCAGCTGTGAACAGTGGGGCTAAATGTTTTAAATTTGGACTTCAAGGCAGCTGGACATGAAGAGAAAGAAAGAAGAAAGAAAAACCACAGGACACAGATTGAGTAGATATCTCACCATCAGATGGGTAGCCAAGGAGTATTAAGGCTGAAAATGGCTCATTTTCACATTCTTGATATGGGGGTTGTTTTACTATAAACAAAAAGGATTGGTGGTTTTCTAGAACATTTCTTGGAGGTTTCCTGGAAGGTTTCTTGGAGTATTTCTAAGAAGGAGAATAATTCAAAACACTGAGAGCTAGCAAATAGAGATAGGAAAAGTTAGCCTGACCCAGAAATTGCCATGATATCTGTTATTCAAGTGATCATGGTAGGAATTAGTCATAACTGATATTTATTCAATACTTATGATATGCTAAGCAAAATAGTAAGTCCACTATGTAAATTATTGCTTTTTATTAACTTTCATTTTAGGTTCAGGGGTACATATGCAGGTTTGTTATATGGGTAAACTTGTGTCATGAGGATTTATTGCTCAGATTATTTCATCATCCAGGTACTAAGCCTAGTACCCAATAATTATTCTTCTGCTCCTCTCCCTCCACCCACCCTCCACCCTCAAGCAGGCCCCAGTGTCTGTCGTTCCCCCTCTTTGTGTCCATGAGTCTCATCATTTAGCTCCCACTTGTAAGTGAGAACATAAGGTACTTGGCTTTCTGTTTCTGCATTAAGAAATGGAATCAATCGGAATGCCCATCCATGACAGACTGGATAAAGAATTATTCTCTTAATCCTGATGGTGACCTACCCCATATGGGGTAGGATGCTAGAATTATCATTATTATTCCCATTACATAGGTGAGAACAATGGGGTGCAGAGATGCTAATTAGCTTGCTCAAGGCCACCTGAGGAGGAGGTACAAAAGCCAGGATTCAGCCTGGAGCTGTCTGACATCAAGAACTGCTTCCTTCAGCGCTACTGCGTCTTTCTCTTTCATAAACGCTCAGGTGTTAATGGATAAAGATTAAAGAACTCTGGATAAAACCATGGGCACCATCCCCAAATTATCAGTCGGCCTATCTTATGAAAAAGAGCAGAAAGCAGCAAAATGCAACCTGCAGTCGTAAAGCCTGGGTTAACAGAGAGGGGCAGAAAGGATCCTGGGTTACTCATAATCTCACAAACCTCCAAAACAACAGAGGAAACGAATCCAGACCTGACTCGAGAAGTTGCACACTAACACATTAAGGTATTCATGAGAATTACTGAGGAAAAATTCTGAGCATCCAAACTGAGTGATTAATTTCCTCATACACTTAGAAAAGCAAAGAATGTCTCATAGGAGCAGAAGAAATGGGATGGAGAGAGAATCACATGACTGATGATCCCCGGTGATGCGTCTGATAAACCCTTAGCTGGGAAAGGATCACCTAGAGACAAAGTGAGTGCCAGTGATTCTGCAAAGTCTTGTCTCCCAGGGAGCTGGAATCGTCACGGAATAGGTGTGGACTGCTAATACCTTTTTGATTGACAACCAGAGGGATACAGAATTGGTGAGCCATTGGCATCCTAAAGAAAAAGATCCCCCCACCACACCCTGGTTAATATGTTGTAACTTGACTGTAACTCCTGTACCTTGAAAAACTCAACAGATCCTCAGACTTACCACATAAGAGCCATATAATTTAAGAGTCAGGTTACATACACACAAAACAGGACCTATTCCAAGGAATAAGTAAAGGCAAAAGGGAACTCCAGGAAGACGTTCACTGCAGCATTATTTACAACAGGAGCATTATACACAACAGGAGCATTTTACATAAATACGCTAGGACTAGAAAATGACTTCAGGTATTTCGGTGCTGACTTATGAAAGACTATTAAAGGGTTTTGGAAATCATAATTAGGAATATAAGTTAGCACCTTAGGAAATGCTTATATGTAAGCGGAGAAGCTGAGCCTGAGCCGTGTGTATATATAATCATGCCTCGGTAAAAATCCTGCCCTCGGTGGCTGAGGACGGAAGGAGAACACAAAACAAGTGCCTACGGCTTGCTTAGTTGGAATGGCAGGATTGGGGGTTTTGTTTTCTTTTCTCTGAAACCTTTTTCGGCAGTAAAAACAAGGAAGACATATTATACTCAGTTCTGATGAGATTAGTTCTCAGTTCAAAAGCTGTTCATGACCCTCTTTTTTGCTTCCTTCCTGTGGAATTAGATCCAGTCTTCGGAGTTCTGTCTTCAAGACCCATTATAAAATGGATCCGACCTCCCCATTCATTTTTACCTCCTGTCTCCTCCTGGCTGTGTTTTCTTCCACCTGGGTGGGCCACTGGCCTGCAGACATGGCTGTCCGCTCTGAGCACTTTGCCAGTCCCTCCCTCGAGGCCACTCCATCTGCTTTCTTCTCTATTCTCAGCTGTGGAAATCCTACCCAACTGTCAAAGATAATCTTTGGATTCCCTTTTATTCCACCATCCACGCACGAGCTCCCTCTCCGCATCATCCCTTCCTACAGCCAACCTGTCTCCTGCAGTATGGACCCCAAGCTGCCTTATTAATACCTGAAGTCACTAACTATTGATGACCTTTGTCATCACTTGGGTGCCACTTTGTGACACTTTGTCAGCCACTTCGGTGCATTCACGCATCTTCTATGCAGTCCTCTCTTTGCTTTGACTGTCCCCCTCTATGCCCCCTAAGTAGACAACAAGTTCATTCAGGGCCAGGACCATGTCTGATTCACTTTAAATCCCACATAGGGGTAAGTAGGATGCTTGGCTTAAATGTTTTTTTCTGTATTCAATACAACTAATTTTTTTATCTTAACAGAACCATCATCTGTCCTCCAAAAGGAACAAAAAACTCCACTTTACCGTCGCATTACAGACAAAGCAAAATTCATGTACAAAGAGACAAACATCTTCCCCCTGGATATGGTTGGCTTTCCTCTGTATTTTTCTCCAATGTTTCATAACACTTATGAATTATAGATCAACCACCTATGGACATGTGGAAAATCAGACAAATCCAAAGTTTTCAAGATACATTGTTTCCAATTCTTACAAGGAGCTTTTACCTATTTAAATTCAAGAAACAATATAAATCCAATGAGCTTAGTTTTGTGGGACTCCCGGCCATAGTAGGTAGAAAACCCATTACAGCTTTCTTATATGTCACCTGAGAATGAATAGGCACATAAGTAGAACCAAATTCCCCAGGAAATTGAGCCTACTAAGGGTTTAGCAAATATTGAGTCTGCTGGTTTGTATTTCCTCATGTGCATTTTAATACCCCTTGAAGTCAAGGGGACCATGATTCACACCCGGAGCCTTCCTCCACTGGATTCATTTTGTCAGCTCTTTGGGAATTTAAGTACATCTGAATGGCATCTCTCTTTCATGGTGAGAGTGTGATGGATGGCCGGAGACTCCCAGGCTGTCAGGACCCATCACTTTCCCCATCCATCTCCCATTTAACGGTCCCCGGGCCTGACAGCTTTCTCTCACATTGGTTCATGTTCTCATTGCCAAAAACCACTAATGTTTTCTTCACAGGGAGCCAGGAACAATGGGAAGGCAAACACAGTGGATTTGGAGCCTTTTGCTCCTGAAACTTAAAAATGTTCATTCCAATGCAGTTAAGCCAGTAACTTCTGAGACATGCCTTCCCACCTAAGTTAATAGAACAATATTAAAAAAAGAAAAAAAGAACAACACCTTCTCCCCCAACATATATCTCCGTGTTGCGGAGGAAGTCCTGGAGCTTTGCTGAGACTATTATGGCTCTCAGAACCCAGCATATTAATTCTTTCCCACTCCAAACACCCGCATCCCATCCTCCCTGGCGTTGTCACGTGTGGGAAGGCCTCCACAGCAGTGGTGTCCCCTGCACTCAGTTCAGTCCCCGGCACACACACTGGGTACTTAAGAAATTGTCCAGGCAGGACACGGTGGCTCACATCTGTAATCTCACCACTTTTGGAGGCCGAGACAGAAGGATGGCTTGAGGTCAGGAGTTTGAGACCAGCCTGGACAACATGGCCAGTGTCTGTCTATACGTTAAAAAAAAAAAATTAGCGGGGTATGGTGGCCTGCACCTGTGGTCCCAGCTGCTCGGGAGGCTGAGGCAGGAGGATTGCTTGAACCCAGGATGTCGAGGCTGCAGTGAGCTGTGATTGTGCCAATGTACTCAAGCCTATGTGAAAGAGTGAAACCTTGTCTCAAAAAAAAAAAAAAAAATGAAATTTTTCAGGATGGCACTGTAGTTTAAAAGTTCTGAATTCATTGAATTATTTGTAGAGTCTTAATTGTATCTAAATCTTAGAAATAAACCTGATGCTTTTTATATGTCTTTCTTGGACTATACTAAATTATTCATGTGATCAATCATTTGTGTCTAAATTAAAATGCCAGAGACAAGGAAAATGAAACGTTGGCAGGTCAGAGTTGGAATATTGTATTTTAAAATTATGTTGTTATTTTGTTTTATAGAAAAGGTTTTATTATTTTTGCCTTCTTAGTATTCTCTGCACTAATTTTTTTAAAATTTTGCCTCTTTTAAAATTTGCCTTATAGTTTTATTAGCACCTAAGAGTTTACAAATATAAATAATTCTAAGCTACTATTCTCTGTTTCACAATTTACTTATTTAGAAACATTATGCTGCTTTGAGGAACTAGAACCATTTTGTGTAAGAATTTTTATTTTCTGGGCTCCTTATACCATTCCTTTATTGAAGTGTTTAAATTTTTAAACAAACTCAAAACTATAATGAAACACTTCCCCACAAAGTACCTACATCATTAGCATATATGTAATTACATCTACATAATAAACATGATCATAAAGAAGAACACTTCTAAATGTTTTGTCTAAATGTAACAGCCTCACCTTCCCTCGCTGTCCCAGCATCCACCACTTTGATGTAGTTTTGCTACCTCATTTGCCTCTGAAAATGTTTTTGACCTGAGGTCTTTAGTAGTCATGGAAACAGCAAACTCCTCATTTCCATCCCTCTTTCTTTCTCTCTCTTTTTTGAGAGCTGATGTCTATAACTTGATCTCTGTTGGGATCTCTATAACGGTAAGTCCTCAGATTACACAAACAACAAACAGACAAAAGAAATGGCAAGGAGAGTCATCCACAGAGAGGTGCAGGATGCTCACAGCGTTGTGCAGCAGCCTGAAAGGAAAGGGAGGGAAAGCACCCCTGTGCAGTCGCCCTCCTTAACATCTCCAAGAAGCCTCAGGTCAAGGGAAGCTGCACTGTCTCTAAGCACCAGCAGACACCTGTTCCCCAGTGCATGCCTTTACTCCAACCACAGCTAACACTGAAACCAGCGCTCAGGGGACTTGTGTTCCCTTCATTTGATGGTGGAGTGCTCTCATTACTCAAAGTCCAAGCAAGTTTTAGTTAATTAAGTTACGCAGAGATGACAATGAAATACTTGGAGAAATAGTATTGAGGAAAAGAGCCAAGCTCTGTAAAATATTTATAGAGGTTTATCCTGAGCCAAATGTGAGTGACCATGGCCCAAGACGCAGCCTCAGGAGGTCCTAAGAATGTGTGCCTAAGGTGGTTGAGGTGCAGCATGATTTGATACATTTCAGGGAGATATAAGACATTAATCGATACATGTAGGGTATACATTGGTTCAGTGCAGAAACACTGGACAGGACAACTGTCCTGATGCAGGGGCTGAGGACAATTACAGGGCATAAGTGGATTCAAATATCTTCTGATTTGCACTTGGTTGAAAGAGTTATTACCTAAAGAGCTGGAATCAATAGAAAGTAGTGTCTGGGTTAAAATAAGTATTTGTGGAGACCAAGGTTCTTATTATGTAGATGAAGTTTCCTGGGTGGCTATCCTTAGAGGCAATAGATGGCAAATATTTCCTGCTTAGATCTTTAAAAGGTGCCAGACTCTCAGCTAACTCTTCAGGAGCAGAAAAAGCCCTGGAGAGGGAAGGGGATTATCTACAGAATGTAGGCCTTCCCCACAAGAGACAGATTTGCAGGGACATTTCAAAATACATCAAAAAAATCTATTTTGGGTAAAATGCTTTGGTTCCTTCCAAGGCCTGCTATCTGTCATGTAATGCTATACTAGAGTCGGGTTAGAATTTGGTATTTCATTGCTACAAACAGTTTGTTTTCTCAGTGTTTATATCTCTGTGTTAATGTTGGTCAGTTGTCCCTGAAAAAAGGAAGGAGGGTGTAATGAGGCCTGTCCAGAACCTGCTTCCTATCACAGCCTGAGCTAGTTTGTGTAGGTTTCTTTTGAAATCCCCTCAGTCAAGAGAAGGGATTCATTCAGTCAGTTGGGGGGCTTAGAATTTTATGTTTGGTCTACATTTGTCAAAGCAAAGACTTTTGTCTAAATTCCTGTGATTTGGTTATTTCCTGACATTTTCCCAGGTAATGACCAAGTAAATTCATACAGAAATGTGTGTGTGTGTGTGTGTGTGTGTGTGTGTGTGTGTGTGAGAGAGAGAGAGAGAGAGACAGAGAGAGAAAGAAAGAGATATCAATTTGGTTCAAAAGACTGGTATGAACCTGACTGGTATGAATCTCCCTTTATTCAGAGTGAATTTTTCTCCATATTTGACAATTGGAATTGTCAAGATTTAGGACTAATGTGGACCAGTTACACTGGCAACCTGAATTTGTAGCATACCCATAATAAAGAATTATGTTATGTACATAGAAGAAACAAAACTCTCATTTCTACCTCCCCCAATATAAACACAGTACAAAATGATACACACCTAATTTTCAGCACGAATTGGAAATATGCATGCTAAATTTCCAGTCAAAGATGACTCACGTGTCGACAGTTTTAACTGCTTTAGGTAAAATCTCCTACATCACCCTACAACTGCTTTTTTCTTAAAGAGATTTAACTATAATAGCCTTTTTGAAAATGTCAACCTTATTGAAATAGAAATTACTCTGTTCATTTGTTTCAGGTATGTTGTATTCAAATCTATACTTTGTCTCTCTAAAATTTACACTGAAAAACAAATTTGTAAATTTGCCTTTGTCTCAGAATTTCATGGTGTTTTTGAATACACTGGGAAGAGTATTATTCACATGGTTTGAATCTGTGTCCCTAATCAGCTCTCATGTTGAATTGTAATCTCAGTGTTGGAAGAGGGGCCTGTTGGGAGGTGACTGGATCATGGGATTGGAGTTCTCACAAATGGTTTACTACCATCCCCCTTGGTCCTGTGTAGTGAGTGAATTCTCACAAGAACTGGTTGGTCAAAAGCGTGTGGTACCTTACCCCCACCCCCTTCCTCCTGGTCTGGCCATGTAAAGATGCCTGCTCCGGCTTTGCCTTCCACCATGAGTAAAAGCTCCCTAGCCATGCTTCCTGTAAAGCCTGCGGAGACTGGGTAATTTATAAAAAAAGAAGTTTAATGGCCTCATGGTTCTGCAGTCAGTACAGGAAGCATGATGCTGGCATCTGCTTGGCTTCTGGGGAAGCCTCAGGAAACTTACAATCATGGCTGAAGGTGCAAGGGGAGCAGGGTCTTACATGGCAGGAGAAGGAGCAAGGAAGGCAGGGGGCGGAGGTGCCACATACTTTTAAACCACCAGATCTGGTTAGAACTCACTCACCCACTCACTATCACAAGAATAGCACCAAGGGGTGGTACTAAACCATTCATGGAAAATCCACCCCCATGATCCAAACACCTCCTACTAGGCCCCACCTCCAACACTAGGGATCACGTTTCAAAATGAGATTTGGGTGAGGACAGAGCAGGTATTGAGCTGTCACTCAATACTCACTCCCTGCACAATTTCTGTGTAAGTGAAATGAAACACAAATCAGCCGTCCAGCCAGGGGCTGGAAGAGATCTTCCATCACCATCCATAGAAATGTCAAAGTGATACAGTACAGCAGAAAGAATAGTGGAGAATGGCTGGAGCCATGTGTCCTTACCCGTTTTATTAATTTGGTCTGTTTGGTCTGTTAGCATCATCATGGTTTCACCATATCACATGGGAAGCCCAAATATGCTGCCTACTGGCTGATAAAATCACCTCCAACCTTTACCCCCAAATTATGTGACACATCGGAGGGTAAGACAGACATTCTTCTAGGTTCAGCTCACTTACCTCGATTACACTACACATAAAGGTAAAGTAATAAGCCACAAATGGCAATTTAAAATTAAATTTCCTACTTTCATTGAAAAAAAATCACACTATATATATAGTGTGATTTTTTATATATATAAACATATATAAATATATATAAATATATAAACATATATAAATATAAACATATATAAATATATAAACATATATAAATTATATATAAATATATATTTTTATATATATATAAATTCAGCATATATATATATATATATGCTGAATCTCTGAAGGCGTTTAGAAAATGGACCCATGGAATTCTTTCTGCAGTTTCCGGTATCATCAGTATCTCTTGCTAAAATGTCTTCTGAGCTTTGGCAGGGGAGTACATCAACCACACAGGTGCGATGTTTGTGAACAAGAGTCCCACTCAGGTCCAATGCTGTAAGCAGTCCCCGCAATTATGAATCTAAAAAGTAATTAACACCAAAGGTGGCCACATTGCTTTCCCACTTAGAGGGGCAAATGAGAGTGCACATTAGATTAAGTACAGACTAACACAGCATATGCAAAGTCGGGAGTTTCAAATGAAAAAAACAAACCTGGATTGAAGTATCCGAGAGGATACATTTCCAACCATCAAGATAATAAGGAAAAAGGTCAACTGGAAATGGACTTCAACAGGACCTGGCAGTTTCTAATTCTTTGAGAAAAATATTAACTTTGAGACACATTAAAAATCAGGGGCGGGCATGGTTGCTCACACCTGTAATCTCAGCACATTGGGAGGCTGAGGCGGGCGGATCACTTGAGGTCAGGAGTTTGAGAGCAGCCTGGCCAACATGGCAAAACCCCGTCTCTACTAAAAATACAAAAAATAGCTGGGCATGGTGGTGGGTGCCTGTAATCCCAGCTACTCGGGAGGCTGAGGCAGGAGAATCAGTGGAACCTAGGAGGCAGAGGTTGCAGTGAGCTGAGATTGAGCCACTGCTCTCCAGCCTGGGTGACAGAGCGAGACTCTGTCTTAAAAAAAAAAAAAAAAAAAAAAAAGTCAGGAAACATTTATATCAAATTTCAGTATGTGCATGAACACAATGTCCTTCTTTACTCCAAGGGCTTTAAATGATTACTTCCTTGGAGTTCCTGCTCATTTTCTTTCTTCATACCTGTTCTGTCCAGCTAAGTGTCCCCAGTGGCCCAGAACACGGGGAGAACCTTCCACCTGTGGCCAGCATTTGCACCTGGGCCCCCTACAGACCATGTCTACACAGCAAACAACAAGCCACATTCATAAAAGTACAAGTCAGGGTGCATCTCCACCTGCTCAGGACCCTCCAGTCGCTTCTGTGCCCACTTTGAAGAATATTCAAACTCCCCGAATGTAGTTTACATGGCTCTATATGGCAGGCACTATGAGAACCTAGGCCCAAAAGTCTGGCTCGAACCTGCCTTTCTTCAGAGTAAATTTTTTTTTCTCCATTTTTTTACTGACAGCTGAAGACCATGTCAAGATTTGGGATAATTGTGAAACAGACAGTGAAGATAGTAATTTGCATTTATAAAGTGTCCATAATAAAGAAAAGGTGCTATGTGCCACAGATGTAAGACTGCTATGTATCAAATCCCCCAATACTAACATAATGCAGAATGCTGCCACATGTTTCTTGGCATGAAATAAAAACCACACGTGTGCACACACACATACACACACACACACACACACGTAGAAATTCCAAAGCAACTAGGCTATATGGTACAGCCTTTAAGGTCACTCGCCTATTAATATTTCCCCTACCATTTCTCCTTCACTTGCTTCAGGGGCCTGCACCCTTTTTCTGGAAAGAGCCAGATGGTAAATATATTAGGTTCTCCAGGCCAAGGAATCGTCTTTGTAACTATTCAGCTCTGAGAGTTTAGCAGGAAAAAAAAGCCACAGACACAACATAAAAGCGTGGATTTTCATAAAATCCACATCGGACAAAAACAAATATGCTTCATATTCACTCTCCTGCTGCTCTCGCTTGCCATAAGAATGGGATGCTTCTTCTACCCTCCATGTTCCCATGGGGGACCCCTTATCATCACCAGATGTCTGCTCAAATTCACCTTCTCCTGACCACATTATCCAAAGAATCTCCTGACCGTGCCACTTTGGAGCTTCACAGTGAGCTATTGGGGAAAGAACCATGGAAATGCTAAGGTGTTGGGCACTCCCAGCCCCTGGGGAATCTAGGAGGGACCTGGAGAGGCCACAGCCCCATCTCACTTCTGGTCATAACCTGCTATATCCACTTCCCCCACTGTGACACACAGACATTAATTCCTACATAACAAGGGTCCCCAACCCCCAGGACCAGTACCAGTCTGTGGCCTGTTAGGAGCCATGACACATAGCAGAAGGTGAGTGATGGGTGAGTGAGTGAAGCTTCATCTGTATTTACAGCCACTCCCCAACGCTCACATTACCACCTGAGCTCCAGCTCCTGTCAGCTCAGCAGCAGCATTAGATTCTCATAGGAGTGCCAACCCTACTGTGAACTGTGCATGCGAGGGATCTAGGTTGCACGCTCCTTATGAGAATCTAACGCCTGATGATCTGTCACTGTCTCCCATCACCCTCAGATGGGACCATTTAGTTGCAGGAAAACAAGCTCAGGGCTCCCACTGATTCTACATTATGGTGAGTTGTATAATTATTTCATTATATATTACAATGTAATAATAATACAAACAAGTGCACAATAAATGTAAAGTGCTGAAATAATCCTGAAATCATCCTCCCCACCCTGCCCCGGTCCATGGAAAAATTGTCTTCCATAAAACTGGTTCCTGGTGCCAAAAATGTTGGGGTCTGTTGCTATGTAAGGCACGACAAAAAGACAGTAGGAAGCCCTGCTCTATCCCACTACTCTTGGAAAAAGAACTAGCACTCACGACTTGTGTATTCATTTTACTTCTATTCATTCATTTATTCATTCTCTACCCACCTAGAAGGTAAGCTCCATGTGAGCAACCACCCTGTCTATTTCAGCTCAGCATCTCCAACACCTAGAAGAATGCCTGTGAAAGGCCCTCACTAAATACCGTTGGTGAGCAAATCCTGAATCCTGAAAGCAACAGAAGGCTGCCATCCAGCAGAGATCACAAGGTGCTACTAACGCACATCCGTACAACTTCCAAAACTAGTCCAGGTCATCTCACAAATTTCATGTCATTTCCAAAAAGCCTTCCAGAGACCCAACAGAAAATGGTTCCGAATCTCATGTTGGCCTAAGGTGGTTTCATCCAGACAAATCCCTCTGTTCAGTGCATCTGCTCTGCCAGGGCCAGAGTGACATGGAGCCCTGAGACTCCCATTCCATGGGCTCTTGTCCCTGCTTCTAGAGCAGAGGGGGCTGAGACAGGCTGAGATTCATCCCACCGCACTTGTCTTTCAGATGAGTTCGACCAGCTTGGAAGGTGCTTTTCCTTTCACAATGACAAGTCCTGCAGCAGCGCATCTGAAGGACCTATTATTCTATTTTCAGATTTTAACAGTGCAAATGTCTCATTGCAGCTCATTTTGTAACTTACTGAGCTGTGTTATATCATGCAAATTTTCCAAATACAAACCGAACATGTCTCATAGAACACTTTACAGCTCCATCCCATCTTAAACCAAGCAGAAAATGCAGCAGTTCAGAAGTGTGGGGATGACAGTATTCCTAGCAGAGAGACGGGACGCTAGCCAGGAGGCCTGCAGCTACACGACCCAGGATTAATTGAGGAAGTCTAACGGAAGGGGCCTCTGCTGTCAGAGGGAGAGGGAAGACAGGAGAGATTTTATGACAGTCTTTGAACAGTCACAAGGGTGAATGCAATCGTTTACCTTCCCAGCCAAACAAAATACTCCTAAATTCCACTTTCTGTGGTTGCTAAAAACAGTATCATCAGATATCAAGGCCAAGGGCCCTGGCAGGCTGCAATGTTATGATAGGGTTAGCCCCAGGTACAACACAGAGCCTGGTCTGGGTCCAGCATGCATAGCATTTGGAAGCGCACCTTCGAGAGCAGCAGAGTTGCTGCTTCACAGTGGCCAGATCAACCAGTAAACTCTCTCCTGCCACCCTGTCACTTCATTTCCACTCCTGACTCCTGGATGCAGCTCTTCCTTCCATCCACACTCAGACCTAGCCTCCAGTCCCCAGCTCAGCTCCCAGTTCACTCCTACAGATTGATTTCTCTCTATTTGGCTCTATCCTTTGGGGTAGGCCACCTAATTCTGAGCTTATTCTTCATTTACTATAAAATGTGCAAATTGGACAAGAACGGTATTTTCCAAACCTTAGCTATTCAAATAAACCCTTCAAGATTTTTGAATCCATTTACTTTGCAACGCAACCTCACCTTAGTTCTGTAAACTAAAAGTTGACAGCACTGTTAGAAAACTCTTCGCTTGGTGATGGTCTATCTTTACCTCCTGTCTTTGCTGCAATCAGAAATTACCCAAAGTCAGAGAAACGTTAAACACATTCTGACAACAATGGAGAATTTCTCCAAGACACAACCAAAGAATTTACAAATCTTTTTTTTTTTTTTTTTTTTTGAGACGGAGTTTCACTCTTGTCACCAAGGCTGGAGAGCAATGGCACAATCTCGGCTCACTGCAACCTCTGCCTCCCAGGTTCAAGGGATTCTCCCGCCTCAGCCTCCCTAGTAGTTGGGATTACAGGCACACTCCACCACGCCCGACTAATTTTCGTATTTTTAGTAGAGACGGAGTTTTACCATGTTGACCAGGCTGGTCTTGAACTCCTGACCTCGTGATCCACCCACCTCAAGCTCCCAAAGTGCTGGGATTACAGGCGTGAGCCACCACACCTAGCCACAGATCATTTTAAGAGGAACTACTTTCTTACTCCAGGCTTCAACTTCACCTATGCTATATTGTGGCCCCATCTAAAATCATGTGACACACCACTAGCGCAGTGTTTGGCAAACTACAGCCCACTCACCAAACCCAGCCCACCGCCTGCTTTGACGAATAAAGTTTTATTGGAACACAGCCGTGCCTATGTGCTTACATATGTTCTCTGGCTGCGTTCTCTGCACAACAGCAGATTTGCTGGCCACAGTAGAAACTGTATACCCTGCAAAGCCAAACCTATTTACTGCCTGGCTTTTACAGAATAGATTTGCTGCCCCCTTTTCTAGTGGATGGACACAATTCTGTGAAAGGAAAATCAATCTTGGGGCCCCCAAATCACTAAGCTAAAGGGAAAAGTCAAGCTGGGCACTGCTGAGGGGAAACCTGCCCCATTCTATTCAAAGTCCCCCCTCTGCTCACTGAGATAAATGCATATTCAATTGCCTCCTTTCGAGAGGCTCATCAGAAACTCAAAAGAATGCAACCATCTGTCTGTTATCTACCTATGACCTGGAAGGCCCCTCCAGGCTTCCAGTTGTCCCACCTTTCCGGACTGAACCAATTCCGAACAGAACCAATGTACCATTTTTTTTTTTTTTTTGAGACAGAGTCTCACTCTGTCACCAGACTGGAATGCAGTGGTTCAATCTCTGCTCACTGCAACCTCGTGCAACCTCGGCCTCCTGGGTTCAAATGATTCTCCTACCTCAGCCTCCCAAGTAGCTGGGATTATAGGCATGTGCCACCAGGCCCAGCTAATTTTTGTATTTTTAGTAGAGACAGGGTTTCACCATGTTGGCCAGGATGGTCTCCATCTCCTGACCTCATGATTCGCCCGCCTCAGCCTCCCAAAGTGCTGGGGAACCTATGTACTTCTTACACATATTGATTAATGTCTCATGTCTCCTTAAAATATATAAAACCAAGCTGTGCCCCAACCACCTTGGGCATATGTCATCAGGAATTCCTGAGGCTGTGTCACGGGCATGCACCCTCAACCTTGGCAAAAGAAACTCTAAATTAACTACGACATGTCTCAGATTTTCAGAGTTCACAATTCTTAGAGAATCTTCGCTTCTTCAAGTCCCTTCTCTGAGCAGGCTTCCTTTGCTCCACGTACATATTTCCATGACAGCCTCACTGTGGCCATAATTGTTTGTCCTTGCAGCTGTAATAGACTATCAGCCCCACGAGGGCAATGTGGACTCCTGGGAAGGCCGTTACCATGGGAGTGAGAGAGACCAGGCAGTGTGAATGGGGACACACTACCCACCCACAGGAGACACCTTAACCCTAAAAGTGGAACTGCAGTTACCATTTTACAGTGCCGTTACAACAATAAGAGAGTACTATATGTAACCATCAGACACAGTATAATCTCCCTCAATGAGTATTCAGTGAATAAAATGAAGGAAATTAAAATATTTTACCCTGGGCCAGGAGCAGTGGCTCACACCTGTAATCCCAGCACTTTGGGAGGCCGAGGTGGGCAGATCACGAGGTCAGGAGATCACGACCATCCTGGCTAACATGGTGAAACCCCATCTCTACTAAAAATACAAAAAAAAAAAAAAATAGCCCAGCGTCGTGGCGGGTGCCTGTAGTCCCAGCTACTCGGGAGGCTGAGTCAAGAGAATGGTCTGAACCCAGGAGGCGGAGCTTGCAGTGAGCCGAGATCGCGCCACTGCACTCCAGCCTGGGTGACAGAGCAATAGTCCATCTAAAAAAAAAAAAAAAAAAAAAAAAAATTAACCCAAACATATTTTGAAACGGCTGCTGCTTGGCCAGCAAAGATAAGTAGCCTTGCAAGGCTGTCTTCTGTGGGAAAGTTTGCAACCCTGGAGAATCTCCATTAATGCAGCCAAGCCCCCTCAGCTTTCCATCCCTTTCCTGGATCCAGGAGAGATTGAGAGTCCGATACCTCTGAAAGTCTGAAAAGACACATTTACCATCTATTATCTCTGAAGGAGGCTTCACCTACATACCAAGGCCACCTATGCTAGCCAGGCCTTTTCCTTTCTCTCTCTCTTAATCTGTCTTGCCCCTCAACCTGATTTTCCAACATAACCTGATTCTGGCTATGCTCTGAGTTTGCCTTCCTTGCTGTGGCCTCAGGGTGGTATAGAAGCTTCTATAACTTACTGTTCGCTTGAGTCTTCATTTGGAAGGCCCCCACATATACATGCTGAATAACTTTGTATGCCTTTTCTCTTATTGATCAGTCTGTCTTATGTCGGTGATTTTTCAGAGAACTTTTAGGGGGCCAATTTCTATGGCCCTCACAAAATGAATGAAGGAACAAAGGAATCAATCAATGTATTTTTAACTCACACTGACTTTTGTCTTCATTTCATGCTTAACACCCTTAGAATTATTGATAATTATAACCAGTGTTGAGATAGGGGTTTAGCAAGACTAGTTTCCCAAGACCCAGTCAGAAGACCCCATTGATAAAAGAGGATGCAATAGAGAAGCCAGGCCAAATGCACTAAAACCAAGATGGTGACGGAGTGACCTCTGGTTACCCTTGCTGCTCATTATATGCTAATTATAATGCATTAGCATGCTAAAAGAAACTCCCACTAGTGCCAGGACAGTTTACAAATTCTATGGCAACTCCTGGAAGTTCCCCTATATGTTCTAAAAGGGGGTAGAACCCTCAGTTCCAGGAACTCCCCTCCCTCCCCCAGAAAACTCATGAATATTCCACCATTTGTTGAGCATACAGTCAAGATGCAACCATATATATGGCCAGTCAGCAGCGTATCGGGGTGCTCTGCCTATGGGGCAGCCACCCTTTTACTCCTTTACTTTCTTAATAAACTTTTTTCACTTTACTCTGTTGGCTCGTACTTGAATTATTTCCTGCATGAAGCCAAAAACCCACTTGGCTTCCCAGGCTGAGCCCCAGCCTTGGGGAACTTTGGCTTATAACAGCTCCCATTACATTTTTCTGCCCCAGAGTTCACAAAAGTACATTTCGCACTGTCTCTTTTATTCTCCACAACCACCTTTCAGCAGGTATTATTTTACCCACTTTGCAGAGGGCGATGCAGTATGTCCAAGAGGATAAGGACTCTGTCTAAGGCAATGCTGGTAGGAATCACCAGTCTGACTCCTAACCTTTCTGCTACTCGGCCATGACTCTCCCAGCCATTGCATCAGCACCTCCTAGAGCTTCTTAGGGTATCTCCCACATAGGCTGTCAAGCTGAGACAGGGACAAAGGCTTTTGTATTAGGGGATATTTCAGGAATACAAAAGAAGTAGAGAGTAGTATAATGAACATTCATGTCCCCACCACCCAGAGATAAATACTCCTCCCAAATACTCTCTGGACTCTCTCTCTCCACTGAACTCTCTATTTCCCCCAAGATAATTACAATCATCAACTTGCATTTATCATTCCTAGCTGTGTTCTTATACAAATGCGTGGGTATGCGTGTATATATACAATATGTGCAAATGTGTGTATATGTATATATATATAAACATGCATTCACGCACAAAGATATAAACACACATATAAATAACATGCATTTTTTTTTTTTTTTTGATATGGAGTTTTGCTCTTGTCACCCAGGCTACAGTGCAATGGTGCAATCTTGGCTCACTGCAACCTCCGCTTCTCAGGTTCAAGCAATTCTCTTGCCTCAGCCTCCTGAGTAGTGGGGATTACAGGTGTCGCCACCACGCTTGGCTAATTTTTTGTATTTTTAGTAGAGACAGGGTCTCCCCATGTTGGCCAGGCTGGTCTCAAACCACTGACCTCAGGTGATCCACCTGCCTCGGCCTCCCAAAGTGCTGAGATTACAGGGGTGAGCCACTGCGCCCAACCACATGTTTTTATACATACATACATATATATATATATATATATACTCACAAACAAAACAGTATTATTTTGCATGTTTTTCAAATTGTTATATTGTCATAACATATTTCTGCAATGTGCATTATTTGCTGTTCCTTTGTTTTTCTGTTTTTTTTTTTTTTTTGCAATTTGTCCACTTGTGTACATGCAGCTCTAGTTTATTTATTTTAACTCACATATATTGCTGTATTGTATGCACATGCCCTGAGACTTTGATGCATTCTTTCCTCGAGGGATGCTTAGGTTGTTTCCAAGCCTTCCTCACGACAATCAGTGAATGTTTTGTAGTTGCTTCTGACTTCAGATGTAGGAGAGCTTCTGGGTGTGTGTCTAGCAGAACTGCTGGATCATGGAGGAAGGCTGCCTTCTGCTTTGCTAGATATTGCCAGATTGCTCTCCAAAGTGGTTGCACCAATTTACACTGCCACGTGCAGAGTAGGAGAGTTCCCAGGATTCTTTTTGTGCGATATTACCTTTGCCAATATAATGATTGTGGAATGGTATTGCTTATTTTGTATTTCCCTGATTACTGGAGACATTGAGCATTGTTTCATATGCTTATTGGCTGCTGGTATTTTTTATGTAAATTAATCCACACATCTTTTGCTAATTTTTCTACTGTGTTATTTTGCTTTTTCTCATTGATTTGTAGAAGATCTTTAAGCATCCTGGGTAATAATTTTTGTCGTTTTGAAACCACCTTTGTAAAGAATATAACAGTGAGAAAATTATGATGGGAAAAAAGATCTGCCCTAACCGATTTGCCTTTAACCTCCAAGCTGCCCTAGTTCATTTCTGGGCATAGGCTGCACTAACTTTGGGAGGAATTAAGTTCGTAGTTTAAATTTGAAACAAAGATGATAATAACCCCTCCCCAAAACAAAGTCCCTCCCTGTTTGGAGACCAGACCGCTTTGTAAAACCAATGCATTTTTCACAAGATTATAAATTACGGCTCAGGAGTCCTGCAGCCAGAGGCCACAAGGCTCCTAACCTTCCCAATCGCTCCTATGGATAACATCACTATTGACAAACCTGAGATTGGTGTTTGGGGTATGTTTCAGCCCTTGCATTCTGCTGGATCAGCTGGCACCACCCAGATTGGTACACTGCCTCATCCTGTCCTGTGACCTCCACCCAGGAGCTGATTCAGTGCAGGAGGACAGCTTTGACTCCCCATGATTTCATCCCGACGTAACCAATCCGCATTCCCTATTCCCTTGCCCCCTGCCCTAGAAATTTCTTTTAAAAAACCCTAGCCTCCAAATTGTTGAGGAGACTGATTTAAGTAATAATAAAACTCCGGTATCCTGTTTCGTGGCTCTATGTGTATTAAACTCTCCCTATTGCAATTCCCTTGTCTTCATAAATCAGCTCTATCAGGGCAATGGGCAAGGTGAGCCCATTGGGCAGTTACAGTTCAAGGCAAAGCCTGTTTTATGCTTCTCTTGTCACATACATTGCACATAGCCCGTGCATTAAAAAATATTTATTGATGAATAATTGTTTCACTCTTAATAATGTATCTATGTTCAATTGGTATACAAGTCAATTTTATTGGCAACAAATCACCAAAGTGGTGCCTAAACCACAGTATTTTATGAATACGCATTTGATTTCAATGAATAATGCATCAAATAAATGGGGAATTCAGCAGTAAAATTTTCATATGATATGCATTTTCACTCAAATACCATCTATAATAAATAGGGTTTTTCCTTTATAAAAAAATATATATATAATTGGTAAATTAAAACCTCAAAATGAAGGAACTGTAGAATGCGGGCCAAACTGGAGAGGTCTCCCAAGCCCCATGTTAAGCACACTTCAGAGTTCCAACTGACTCCGGAGGGAAGGAAAACATCTCCAGATGGCAGGATGCTGGGTGCTTTTGGTTTGGGTTTTCATTTCACCCTCACAATAATCCTGCAAAGTAGATGGTTTTTGACCCCATGTTCTCAAATGAAGAAACCAATATTTAGAGGGGATAAGAAACTTCGCTCAAGTCACTCCATAAATGATAAAGTCAGGATTCACACTCAGATCTCTCATTTCTTATTCAACAATAGTTTGTTTACTCCAGTCAGGTACAGGGTTCTGACAACAGAGACGAACAAGGTGTCATCAGGAATTGAATTCCATATTCCTTCACTTTCTCCTTGGTACCCATCTCCAGCTTGGAAGATGGTACAGAAAAACTTGGAATTGCTTTAATATAAAATGCCTCCACAAGCCACCAAGTAAAGTTAAATACAGATGTAACCTCAAGAAAGCACCCCCACACAGGGTAAAATACGGCATGAAATGAGACAGAAATTTTGTAATCATTTGATTGGGAACCTGATACTCCCCACCACTCTACCATCTTTGCAAAATAATTATGATAACTATAAATATTTTTCTCTCATCTCCAGTAAATTCTTAACTCTCATAAGTTACTGACTTATTTAAATTCTTTTCTTACATTTGCAAAATATTTTAAACATACAATAGGGTATAGAAATATATTCATATATATGTAAAAAACAACCTATAGAATATACTGTTCTATATAATAGAATAAAAAGGTATATATACATGCATAATCCATGTTATTCTATATAATACATAAAGATATATACACATATGTATGTGTATATGTGTGTATATGTATGTGTGTGTGCGTATGTGTGTGTGTATGTGTGTATATGTGCGTATGTGCATGTATTTGTATGTTTGTATATGTGTATGTATGTGTGTGCATGTGTGTATATGTGTGTTTGTGTGTGTGTCTATGTGTACGTGTGTGTGTATGTTTATGTATGTGTGTGTGTGTGTATGTGTATATACAGAATAATCACCCATATACCTAATACTCAGAGGAAATAGAATACAAAATATTGCAAATAGAACTGAAACCTCCATATAACTTGCATGGTGTTTGCTTCCCTCACACACCTCTCTGCCCGCTCTAAGGTATTTTCTATCCTAAACCTGCCACTTATACAGATACAAATACATTGTCAATGCACAATGCACACATATATCCATATCTGATTTTATATATAATTGTTTTGCAAGTTTTCAACATTTACATAAAGGCTATCCTATTGTACGCATCTACCTGTAATTTCATCTTTTTGCTCGATATTATGTTTGTGATATTGATACAGTTACAGTTCATTCATTTTGCTACCATAGAATACATATGGAATGAATATTGCATGATTCAGACGTTGTATTTTTGATGAGCTTGTAAGTTGCTTCCAATGTTTTACTATTAAAAACAATGGTGTTTTGAACATTCTTGTATTTATCATATTTTTTGTGAGCAAGAGTTTCTTCTAGAATAAATGACTAGAAGAAACATCACTGGGTTATTTGGCAGCTGCATCTTCAAATTTACTACACAATGCCAAATCACTTTCAAAACGATTGTAACAAGTCATCCCTTCTCTGGTGGAAGGTGAGAGTCCTGGCTGCTTCGTTTCATCACCAACAACTGGTGTTTCCAGGCTTTTTAACTTTTGTCAATCTAATGGGTGTGAAATGGTACTTTGGCGTGACTTTAATTTTCCATTTCCATGGCTTTCATTTAATTTCTTTGTTAAACTGATCATCTCTTCTCAAGTCTGTTGGCAGTGCAGATTTCCTCTTTTGTGAACTGCCTGTTCATGTGTTTTTGCTCATTTTATTTCTAATATTATTCACCATAGACCAGGTGATGGTAACTTTTGAACCATTAATACTTTATATATAAGACTACTACCTTATTTGCAGTTGGTAATGGCTGACTGACTTTTGGGTGGATAGAAAAGTTAGAAGGAGGCATGTCTAAGCCCTCAGGGCTCTCAAAATCCATATTACCTTCTAGCTATTGAATCCAACACATCATTTCAAAATATGTTATAAGCATCTGACTGTGGTGTTCCTTATCTATTTATCAATCCCGGGTAATGAATGAAGCTTTGACTAGTTGCTGTATTCCTTTCTGGATCTGCCAATAAGTTTGTTATCATGTCTGTGTGTGTATGTGTGTTTGTGTGTGTGATCATTTTGAATACTTAATCCTCTCTCCCATCCAGCAAAGCACAACCATGATGCAAAAAACACAGATTTAATTCTATTGGTTCAAAAACATAATATCCCTTTTTTAACTGAGCATATTCTTTTCTTTTGTGACCAAGTCGCATTGATACTACAGGGAAGTGGAATTGTATGAAAAGCATTGCACCAGTGCTTTTCAATTTATTTTTAACCTTGGTTCATTTAGGCAAATGACTCATGTTTCAGCTTGTTTCTTCATCATTTTGTACTCTCCAATGCGGGAATGGAGTGCACTGAACTAGTAATAACCTTTGTATAAGCAAAACTTGGGGGAAATATATACACACCTCAAGCAAACATGGTACAAATACATTGATATTTAAACCACAACGTGTCTGAAAGAGCACCTAGTGGAAAGTTATAGGCTATTAAAGAAATAGTTTATCTGGCACCATAATCACTTTAAAGTTAAACAACTCCAAACAAATTAAGCTGATAATGGTAAAATTAGCAGAGTTATTCATAATTAAGAAGCAAGGACAGCAGCAACTGGAAAGCACAAGCAACCCAAGACATTCTTTCCCTGCTATCCTGTTCACCTGAGCATCTTTGAGGAGTCATGCATGTATACAGTAGGAGTTCTGGGCATACATGTATACAGTAGGAACTCTGCAAAATTGCCAGGGGTCATGAAACTGTAGCCTTCCCAGGAGAATTGCAAAAGACTTCAGTAAATCGCAGTAAAATACCAATTTTAGGCTTTGAATTCCAAATTTCTGCAGTTCTGACAACCTACTTAGAAGACGCCTAGAAGGTAACCTTTAGTCCCAGGCAAAAATGAAGTTGGTGACACTCCAAATCATTTACCTGTGAGAACTAAAGCGAGGACCTGCAGCTCTCAGTCAGCCAGCATAGGAAGAGGCATGTATAATCTCCAATAGCACTTTAGGACTTTGAAAACTAGTTAATGAATCACTTGCACAACACATCTGCTTTGAATCAAGTCAGTACTTTGGAATCCCTTCAAGGTTCTTCCAACGTAGAAGAACGGTATAGAACTTGGGTATATATTTTCTGATAAAGTTCAGCTGGCAACCGTGGGGCTGGTTACTAAGAATTGTTGATGTAGAGCACTCATTCATTCATTCGTTCAGCAATTTTATTTTAAGCACTGGTGGCATGCAGAAAAAATGACCGTCAAAAGATGCTCACATCCTAAGCCCTGGAACCTGCGAATGTATTATGTTACCTGGCAAAAGAGAATTAAGGTTGAAGAAGGAATTGAGGTTGCTAATCAGCTGACCTCAAGATAAAGAGATCATCTTGGATTTTCTGAGCGGGCCTAATGACAAGGGTGTTTTAAATGTGGAAGAAGGCAGGAAGCTGGAGTCAGAGGGAGATTTGAAGATGCCACCCTGCTGGGTTTTAGGATGCAGGAAGGGGCCACAAGCCAGGGAATGCTTGCAGCCTCTAGTTGCTGGAGTGGCAAGAATGCAAACTCTTCCCTAGAGACTCCAGAAAAAATGCAGTTCTGCCAACACCTTGACTTAGTCCAGTGAGCTCTCCTTCACACTTCTGATCCACAGAACTGTAAGACAACACGTTTGTGCTGCTTTCAGCCACCAAAGCTGTGGTAGTTTGTTACAACAGCCACAGGAAATTAACATAAGCATCACTCTTTGCCAGACACGTGCCAGGAACTGGATGTAAAGTCATGACCCAAGGTGTCTGTTCACATGGTCTCTGCCTGCCACACCACATCCCACCCACTGTCTCAGAAGGCAGATGACGAATGAGAAAACAATCGTACGTATTTAAAATTGTCTTACATCTAGAAAGGAAGAGAACCTGGTGTTATGTTAAAGAATAATCCACCAGTGGACGCATTTTAAGTCAGATGGTCAAGGAAGCTCTGTTGGATGGGGTGGTGTTGAAGCTAGCCCAACCGTGTGAAGGGAAGAGATTGGAATTCCACGCTGGAGGTCATGAGGTGCAGAGTCCTAAGGCCTCAAGGCATTGGGTGATTTGATAACCAGGATGAGGAGGGGCTGCATGGTTTGGGCATACAGGGAGGAGAACGGCTCAAATGAAGTCTGAGAGGCAGGCAGAGATCACATGCCAGGTCAACATCATCATCACACAGCCAGGGCTTCCGGCTAAGTGCAATGTGAAGGTGCTGGAACAGCTAAGCCTGGTGATGGCCGATGGATGGTATGGGGCCCGTGAACAATGACATATCAGGAAAGATATTTCTCCATGGAAGAAGCAGCACATTATCTTTAAATTCACTCTATCTTGTTACTTTTTCTTTGAGGCTAACTGATAAGAGGAGAAAATAGAGAGCAGGAAATCTGGATAAGATAATTCGTATCAGAGAAACCAGCAGCGACTTCAGCATTGGAATGAGTTGCCCAGCAATATGAACAGCCTATCTCCACGACGCCACCAATGGCAACTGGCTGTGTACATATAGTCATGTTTCCCAACCCTTATTGTTGTCATTATCACTCCCTACAGAGCTCCTTTTAAAAATAAACCTTTTTTATTTTGGAACCATTTTAGATCTATAGAAAAATGGCTAAGATAGCACAGAATGTTCCCACACACGCCACACAGCTTCCTCTTCTTTTAGATCTTACGTGAGCCGGTACATTTGCTGCAATCAACGACCCAATAGTGGGAAGTGATTATTAACTACAGTCCATACATTATTCACGTTTCTTCCATTTTTCTCTAATATTCTTTTTCTGTCCCAGAATCTCAACCAAGGTACCAGGTTACATTGAGTCTTCCTATCTCTTTAGGAGGCTCTTAGTTGTGACTGCTTCTTAGACCTTCCTTGTTTTTGAGGATCTACATAGTTTTGAGGACTACTGGTCAGTTACTTTGTAGAATGTCCTTTGACTGGGATTTGTCTGTTGTGTTTCTCATGAATAGACTGAGGTTATTCATCTTTGGGAGGAAGACCATAGATGTGAAGTGTTATTTTCCTCACATTCTATCAAGGATACATGCCGAGCTTTGGCCACTGGGAGCTCTTTCCCTTGGCTCCTGTGTCTCTCAGACATGTTCCCATCAGTCTCAGTCTCTCTCTTTCTCTCTCTCTCTCTCACTCTCTCGTGTGTGTGTGTGTGTGAGTGTGTGTGTGTGTGTGTGTGTTCTGAGCACTTCCTTTTTGCCACTATAAGATGCTCCTGGTCTAAGAAACTTTGGTACAGGTGTTTTTCCTAATCACTCTTCTCGAGAAAATTTTAAGCCTAAAGATGTACCGTATAACTCTTATGTACTATAAATAGATCTATGCTTTGTACATGAAAAGAGTAAGATTTTCTTCCCCCCTAATAACCAATTTTATGCCTTTGGTGACTATTTCAACCCCACTGAAAAATGCATAATCAATATCTATGTTTACATTTACACTTTTTAACAGATATCAGAATGAGAAGCCCCCAACAAAATTCATGCTTTGTGACGCTAGGTCACTGTATAGTTTCCGGAGGTGGCAATCATTTGGACCCTCGGCTTGCTGAAAGTACACAACCTCCCAAGGCCAGTGGATAAATGCTGTTCTCTGGTCTATTTAGGGCTTCTCCTTTTTACTCTCAAGAGCTAGTCAAAGACTTTGGACATTTGACACCTAGAAAAATTGTGTATATCTGACAGAAAGGAAAGGCAGCCCCTTCAAACAGAGAGAGAAACTTCTAAAAACACAAACAAACGAACACATTTTCATCCAAAAACATTGTCCTTCCATTGTTCTCTCATTTAATTTCCTTGAATTCCTTTTCTTTTTTTTTTCCTTTTTGAGACGGAGTCTTGCTCTGTCGCCCAGGCTGGAGTGCAGTGGCACGATCTCAGCTCACTGCAACCTCTGCCTCCCGGGTTCAAGTCATTCTCCTGCCTCAGCCTCCACAGTAGATGGGACTACAGGCGCCTGCCACCATGCCTGTCTACTTTTTTCTATTTTTAGTAGAGATGGGGTTTCACCATGTTGGCCAGGAGGCTCCCGATCTCTTGACCTCGTGATCCATCTGCCTCAGCCTCCCAAAGTGCTGGGAGTACAGGCGTGAGCCACTGTGTCTAGCCTTTTTTTTTTTTTCTTTTGAGAATGAGTCTCACTCTGTTACCCAGGCTGGAGTGCAGTGATGCAATCTTGGCTCACCATAACCTCCGCCTCCCTGGTTCAAGCAATTCTCATGCCTCAGCCTCCTAAGTAGCTGAGATTACAGACATGCACCACCATGCCCAGCTAATTTTTGTATTTTTAGTAGAGATGGGGTTTTGCCACCTTGGTCAGGCTGGTCTTGAACTCCTGACCTGAGGTGATCTGCCTGCCTCGGCCTCTCAAAGTGCTGGGATTACAGGCATGAGCCACCACGCCTGGTCCCTGAATTCCTTTTCTACTTACCCTTCGTGGGGGCGTTGCAGGGGAGTGCAGGGGACTCTGGGATTTCACACTTCACCTAAGGCCACCGAGAGGTGACTCCACAAAACCACAAAGATGCAGTTCTCATCCTCCCAGCCACTGCAACAAAGTCCCTCATTTATTCTGTCATTGGCTGGAGGGCTGCAAATGAGCTGCTATCTGTTGAACCGGAAAATAGCATCATCTTAAAAGAGCCCTTTCTGGCACAGAGCTGCATTTAGTCTTCTTTGGATAATGCTATATTATGAAAGAAATGCAAACACACAGAAGGAAGGGGACATGTTGGTGACTTCCTGCATTCTGAGCCCCTCGGGTTACAGACAAAAAACTGGCCATGGAAATACAACCTGAAGTGACCAAACTTCTCTTTCGGTTCCTCTCAAGGCTACTTCCAGGCGTCAACGTTACTAGAGCTGAAGCTGCTTCACCAAGCCTTCATCAAACCCACTTTATCTTAAGCAATAGATTTCCCATTCTATAATTAGAGTGCAACCCCAACCATTATTCACTTAGAAAGGCCATAAATTCCATTTACTATCCAGCAACTCACGTTTCCCAAACATGCCCTATGATAAGATTTATCTGGTGTAGTTGCTAAGAATAAAAGACGAAAAGAAGGAAGATAGGAAGGGAGGAAGGGAGAAAAAGGAGAGAAGGAAGAAAAGAATGAAGGAAGGAGAAAAGGAAAGAATGAAAGGGAAGAGAAGGAAGGAGAGAGGGAGGGAAAAGAGGAGGGAGAGAGAAAGAATGGAGGGCTTGAGGTCCCCCTGGCCCTGTGGAATCAGAATGTAGAACCAAAATCTTCATGGCAGAAACAGCTGATTATATAACAGCTGAACTCAAGGGTTTGAAAGCTCCATATCTACAGGAGTCAAGGCATTTAAAGCCCTTGTCTCAGGACACAGAGCTCGCTGGTTGCACTCAAGGACTCTAGCCTCATAGTCTGTTTTTTACACCTATACTAGGTGTGGTAAAGCATGACTCTGGCCAGATGTAATACAGTAGAGGGGAAAAGACCATTTGGATGCAGAGTATGTGCCTACCTAAAATTGGCGGCTACTTCTCAGCTCTAGATCACCACTGCCATGTGGAAATGAAAGCCTGGTATTGAACAATAATTATCAAAATTAACTTTTGAGCACTTACTGTGCTTGAAACACTTTTTTTCTTTTGCAAATGAACCCATTTAATAGTTAATCACTTATAAGAGATAGGCACTATTATTTTACTAAAAAAATGTGGTCCAGACAAGTTAAGTATCTCATCTGATGTTACCTAGCTCAGACTCAAACTCAGACACCCTCACTGTCTGATGGAGACCTGTGCTCCTAACCACCACAATACACTATTTCTTTGAAATTTTCTCAAGAAGACAGAAATCTATCTCTTTTTGAAGGGTGGATTTGTAAATATCTACTGTCTCAAAGATATAAAACAGATGAACTGAAATATCATATGTGTCCAAAAGGGTATCTCTTTGATGTTGCCAGTTTGTAATCCCCAGCTTAGACTCACGGAAGTTAAAGTCCTTTAGGATAAACATGTTGGTAACTTCTAGTTCAGCTTTCATGACAAAGAGAATTCTCCTGAGATGCATGTGTTCACCAGCCCTCCAGTAACATGTGCAACATCTGTACAGGAAATGATGTCTCCACTGTGCCAGTGTCTGTGCCACCCCAAGTACAGCCCCAGAGGCTCATGGCTGAACAGAGGTAGCTGGCACTGGTAAGTCAGGGAACAATGGGATAGGATGGGGCTGATCTCACATTTCCACCGTCAACTGGTTAAGTCAGGGAACAAAGGGATAGGATGGGGCTGATCTCACATTTCCACCGTCAACTGGTTAAGTCAGAAAACAATGGGATAGGAGGGGGCTGATCTCACATTTCCACCATCAAGAAGGAAATAAACAAAGTCTCTAAGCAGCCCCTTAACCGTCAGTCAAATACATTTTTGTAGTTAAAATAAATGCTGAAGGTCATCGTTTGAGAGGGCAGCCTCCCCTTCAAGGCAACAATGCCTTGCAGTTTATAAAAATGTACGGGTAAGTTAATGGCAAACACAATGGGCCATTTGCCTTTCTCTCATTTGAAAAGCACTTGGCAACCAGTCATGGATAGCCATGGTCTGCAGGAAAGCAGCTGTGGCCAAGGGAGAGAAAACTTACCAAAGTGTGTCCTTAAACTTAGACACTGGATGTTTAACACAGGTCACTGAGAATGTTTAATTTTCTGAGCTTCTAGCTAAACTGCATTTGTTTCCGAAAAGGAGGCTGGTACCTGCATTTTACTTCATGCAGTCAACTATTAATTCAGAACATAATCATGACATTGCCATTGTGCACTAAGCACAAGGCTAGGTTCTGAGTTGCAGAGTAAGCAAATCAGACCAATTCTACTAGTGGAACTTATCTTCCAGCAGCTTGGGACAGATGAGCATTGAAATCAAACACCATGCATAAATAATGCAATTTCAGCTAGTAACAAGTGCTTGAGAGAGTAGCCAGAAAAAGCTTTTCTGGGGAGGTGACATTTGAAATGGGACCTGCTCATGGAGAAAGTAAAAACTATGCGAAGACAATAGGGAATAAACTTTCTAGGAAAAGAAAGCAGCATCAGTAATCCAGTAAACCCCTGGTTGGTTAGAAAAACCACTGTAGTTTGAGGAATTTAGATAAACAGTTGCAAATAACTTAGATAAAGTAACCTAGAAATGTCTTAGATATTTCTTCTTTCATTTCTCCTACAAAGCTTCAACAAATCCCCTTAGCCTAAGAGGGGGTGTATTACTTGCTACAAAACAATGCATGATTTAATTCTATTCCTGTAAACTTCTTACTTAGTTTTGCATCTTTGTGTGCTATAAATGCGGCCTCTACAAACAAGCATTTACAGACTAGATTAGCAAACACCAAATGGTAGATTAAAGATGGCTTCAAATTCTCTGCTACTCTTTCATCCTCCCAGCAACACGTAGCGTCTGCCCTGAAACTTGGGGTGGCCTCAGAAAACTGCTTGACGAATAGAGTATAATGGGAGTGACATGCTGGGACTTCTGAGACTGCAGCCTAAGAAGCCTTGAAGCTTCAGCCTAATTCCTTAAAATATTCATTTTTGGAAGCCTGCAGGTTACTTGGTGCCTGCATTTACTTTACGCATTCAACTATTAATTCAGAATGTAATCATGACTGCTCTGAGCCCACCAAGCTGTGAGAAGGTCAAGCCACATGGACAGGTAATGAAGGATGAGAGGCCATGTGGAAGAGAGAGAGGCCAAAGAGCACCAAGGTGCCAGATGTGTGACTTTAGCAGTCCTTTTAGCAATGAGACCCCTGTCTGGGGTCTCACTCTGTCATCCAGGCTGGAGTGTGGTAGTACAATCTTGGCTCACTGCAACCTCCAACTCCCGGGATCAAGGGATCCTCCTGCCTCAGCCTCCTGAATAGCTGTGAATACAGGTACATATAACAATACATGGCTAATTTTTTTTTTGTTGTTTGTTTGTTTGTAGGGATGGGGTTTCGTCATGTTGTCCAGGCTGATCTTGAACTTTAGCAGTCATCTTGGAAGTGGGTCATCCTCCACCAGCTGCCCCAGATGATGCCACCTGGAGTCAAGATGAACCACCCAGCTGAATCCTTCCTGAGTTTCTGACACAACAAATTGTCAAGAAAAATCGATGGCTGTTTTAAATCACTAAGTGTGGGGTGGTTACTGATACAGTGATAGATAACCAGAATGCAAGTTTTTCAGCAAGAATTCCAGCATGACAAAGCTGGTTGTTCGATCAAGCTGCCACTCACAAAGAGCCTTCCTCAAATGTCTGGCAGGAAAACAAAAAACAGTCACTTTCTTATATTCAAACTTTTTGGAAATTCTCAAAAGCAAATAAGAGTTTACTCACATCTCCTCTTCTGCTTCGATTGAGCATAAGAGAGTAGTCAGTTTGAAAAGTTGTTATTTTGTGAATTGAGAAGCAATTTGATTTTCTTCTAATAATGAATAAACGATAAATGGGTAAAAAAAAAACCCAGTAACTCTTCTCTGTGAAGTGTTGTGTAATTAGTCATATGAATAAAGAATATCCTTTCTGTAGAATATTTTAATGGCTCTTGCAATATTATCCTAAATGACACAGTGTGATATATTTTGTTCACAAGCATTTTTTCATGAAATATAATCTAGCTCTAAAAAATAGCTATTTTAGAGAATGGATTTATTTAATGGTATTCTCTAAATTTTCAGGGAAGTTACACTTTTCAACTGAGAAACAAAATTGTTCCTATCCCTAGGTCCAGACCGAGGAATTTTATATAAGTGCACCTGAGAGTTATGGGTAAAGTGGATGGGATTACCAGGAGGCACTGATGCAGAAGAAGAACCCCTTGGGCCTGGGAAGACACTGAACTGAGTTATTCAGTGAAATTATTGCTGGGTCATGGTTTTGAGTCACCATCTCTATTCCCTGGAAAGGGGAAGAGTTATGCCTGCCAGGAGGGTGATGGGAAAGCCCTGCGGAGTAACCGGAAAAGGAGATTAAGGCCAGGAGATGGATGACTCATGTATTGTAAAAGAGAGAGAGAGAGAGAGGCTCAAATTACTGTTAGTGATATGATCATATGGGTACATGGGAAAGCAATAAACAAATGGGGAAGGCAATTCATTTTGTAACCAAATGCTCTGAGACCTCCTAGAGAAGCACACAGTGGTTCACTGTGTCTGGGATGCAAGGACAGCACCAGGGAAAGACGTCATGATGCAGCGTTCTTACCATCACCCCTAACACAGCCTCTTCCTTTCTCCTGCCTCCTCTGCTGGCCTCTCATGCTCATAATACTCAAGACGGAGGTCTGATTGAATCAGCTGTGGCCACCTGACATGGAGAACCCTGTTGCGTGGACTGTCACGTCCAATGTTGTCTGTGACATAACTCACAGATGTGTCCCCTTTATGCGCAGTCTGTCTTTTGTTGGTTTCTGTGCTGACCCCAAACTCTGGTTCACTTAAATGTGTCCAGGATGGCAGGCTCAGTCGCCATGAAGCCTGCATGTAAAAAACGGGGTGTCAGCAAAGCATGAGGAGTCACTCATGTGCGGGGGGTACAGGAGCTAGTCTGCACACCTTGTACCAAAATGTACTAATGACAATACTCCTGTCTTGTGGGGCTAGGTGTGTGCCTGGTATTGGGAAGAGGCACACCTAAGGGATTTGGCAAATAACTCTCCATGACAGATAGTTTCTATCCTATGTTCTCAAATTCACACTCTCATGTTCTCAAATAGACACACAGTGGTCAGAGCCTCACTAGTGTCTCCAACAGGAGTGAGGCAGAAGGTACCTGGGTGACTCAAATGCACTCCCAGTAACATCCATCCTACATAATTTATTTTTCCAAAACCTAATGTATTTCTCCAGTCTTACTGAATCACTTACAAATAACACTGCTGAAACATAAGCCACTCCCCTGGTAAACAGGGGAAGCATCTAAAAGGAGGGAAAACGTCACTTCTAGGAGATTCGGTCTGCAGCTGTGCTGGGCTAACGGGACCTCCCAACAGTGGCCATTTGCATACAGTTTCCTGGGCTAACGGGACCTCCCAACAGTGGCCATTTGCGTACAGTTTCTTTATCTTGGAGCTGAGTGTTTTTAAAGCCATGGACGCAGGCATACTGGAGTGGCGATCTCAGGGCTGTTACATTTTCATGGAAGTGAGGCTGCAAATGGTAGTGGTTGACTCCTGTTCCTCAGCAGCTTCTGGAGTTAACAACAAAAGAAACTTACTGAAAACCTAATTTTCACAGATCGCAAAACACATTTCAGAAATGGAAAAGGCAAAGGCAGAAAAGTTATTTGGTGCTCTGAAAACACAGTGCCTTAGTGAACTACTAACCTATTAGTCCCTGCAGCCCCATCAGAAAGGAAAGTGGACCTCCATGTTATTAAACTTCTGTAAAGACCTAACTACTGTCCACATCTAAACAATGGAAGGGTGACTTGATGAATCTGATACTTATCTCAGATACTAGGTTACAGCGCAGCTACACTTGTCCTTAAAACATTCCCTCAAAAGTAGCTCTTTCATAGGTGGTAATATATATCTCCACCTACAAAAATACAAGCGCACTGTCATCAATGGCAAGGAACAAGAAAAATTCAACAATAGTAATTTCATAAAGATGTCTTTGACATTTTATCTCTGTTTTACAAATCTGCCCTCATTTGATTGGTCAGACAACAAGATTTTATTGTGTCTGCAAGTCAGTACTGTCTAGGTGTGTTGTATAGGATATTCAAGTTGTATAAAATATGGCTGGTCATATCTTCATAGACTTGATGAGCTGGAAGAGTAAATGTAATTAATATTTAATAAACAGAAAAATGATTAAGCCTTGATTATTTAATTGATCTGTGGTACAGCTCAGAAGTGTAATAGAAGCTCAGAGTGAGGAAATATTTTGCTTGGATAAGAGCAGGTGGAGTAAGCTATACTAGCAGGGCACATACTCTGGGTCTTAAATCATACATGATCTGAATCAAGTGAAAGCAAGTGTGAGCTTTCTTTTTTCTTTGCAGCCCAGGCTATAAATCCCAGAAAGAGGATGAAGGTATGTCTAACTTTGGGCTTAAATTTAGAGGTCTTTTTCATAGTGAAGATAGAACAAACTCACATTCAACTTGTGTCTGGAGGTGTTTCTGTTACAGGCAAGGAACTTTGCTGACTTATCCATGCCAGGAACCTTCTATTACCTGTTCCACCTCCAATCGCCAAGTTATTTACAAGGAGAAGGAGTGGCGAGGTTCAAGCATGCCAGCCTTCTTACTCACCACGGCTAATGACCTATGTGGATAAAATCCATAATCCTGGCTTTTTTTGGCCAAGACTCAAATCATCTGTCCTAATAATGCAGGTAGAAATACGAGTTATTGGCCAGGCCCGATGGCTCACGCCCATTATCCCAGCACTTTGGGAGGCCAAGGCAGGCGGATCACGAGGTCAAGAGATCAAGACCATCCTGGCCAACACGGTGAAACCCCATCTCTACTGATAATACAAAAATTAGCTGGGCATGGTGGCACACGCCTGTAGTCCCAGCTAATCAGGAGGCTGAGGCAGGAGAATCGCTTGAACCTGGGAGACGGAGGTTGCAGTGAGCTAAGATTGTGCCACTGCACTCCAGCCTGGCGACAGAGCAAGATTCCATCTCAAAAAAAAAAAAAAAAAAAAAAGAGAGAGAGAGAAAGAAATATGAGGTATTAACAGGATTGCATTAGGCTGCAAGTAATGGACTTCAACACAGTGTTTTAACAAAAATAATGATTATTTTTCTCATTTAAAAGAAATTCAGAAGCAGATGATCTAGTTAGACCTACTGAGGTGAATTAAGGAAGTCTTCAGAGACCCAGGCTCCTTCCAGCTCCCTGCTACACTATTTAGATTCTGACTTTCAGTCGCCTGGTCTGAAGGTTATAGTCTTTATACCTAGTCAATAGGACACCGTTCCAGGCAGAAGAAAGGTGAAAGGCAAAAGGCATAGCCCAGCAACGTCTGCCCTTTTTTTTTTTTCCTTTTGAGATGGAGTTTCACTCATTACCCAGGCTAGAGTGCAATGGCACGATCTTGGCTCTCCGCAGCCTCCACCTCCTGGGTTCAAGCGATTCTCCTTGCCTTGGCCTGCCGAGTAGCTGGCATTACAGGCATGTGCCACCACGTCCAGCTAATTTTGTATTTTTAGTAGAGATGGGGTTTCACCATGTTGGTCAGGCTGGTCTTGAACTCCCGACCTCAGGTGATCCACCCACCTCAGCCTTCCAAAGTACTGGGATTACAGGCATGAGCCACCATGGCTGGCCATGTCTGCCCATTTTTATCCTGGTAACATTGGGGTCCACAAAACCCCTTCCAAAGACTTTCACTAAGACTTCACCAGGACATATTGAATCATGCAGTCAACCCTAGCCACAAAGTCCTCTAGGAAGTGGAGATTTTAACTGGACACACTGTTCCCTGGTGTGTAGGCTAAAACAGAACTGTAAAAGCAAGGAAAAAGAGGGAAATGGATGTTGGGAACTGTTGGAAGCAGTTTCTGGCAGGGTGACCAGGAATTACTTCTGAATAATTGATGGCAAAGCAGTATGCCTCCATCTGTGGCGACCCAAGTAAAGAAACAAGAGGAGAAGAAAGACTTCTGATATCAAGCAATCCTTCTATCCACCCTCCACAAAATACGCTGCTTTGCATTATGAGAGATCCTTGGAGAAAAACCTTCTCCATGTAATCATGTGGCACATTTTACCTTTCTCTTTGCAAAGAAAGAAGTTGCATGGAATTTAGAGATTTTAGCCATTATTCTCAAATTAGGAAAAACAAAATCACTGTTTGGGGGCTCTTTAAAAAAGTGGCCTATACATTCAAAAGGGAGGAGAACTGTAACGTTTACACATCTCCTGCATGGCGTTTTTGGTGAAGGAAATTATCATTGCTCGACTATTTCATTTCTATTTTTAAAAAAATAGAGAGAAGTTTGCTAACTGAGTTTAAATGGAGGTAAGGAGACTGTAATTAGATGTATCAACGACTCACTAGAGCAATCTTCAAAAAATCAAGTTGTGATTGCGGAGCACAGCCCTCCTTGGAAGGGCAGCCCAAGCCTACAGCTCAGGCCACTGGCCTCTGGACCTTTTGGGCAAGTGAAGAATCCCACCTTTAAGGGCTGTATGAATGGGAACCAGCTTTAGCTTAGAACCAGATTTGGTAGAAAAAGAATGTGCTAATGGAGGGAAATTTAAACCCTTTTGAAATGCTTTTTCTATCTTGACATTCTACAATTACAAGAATTTTTTTTTTTTTTTTTTTTTGAGACAGAGTCTTGCTTTGTTGCCCAGGCTGGAGTGCAGTGGCACAATCTCGGCTCACTGCACGCTCTGCCTCCTGGGTTCACACCATTCTCCTGCCTCAGCCTCCCAAGTAGCTGGGACTACAGGCACCCGCCACCACGCCCAGCTAATTTTTTTGTATTTTTAGTAGAGACGGGGTTTCACCGTGTTAGCCAGGATGGTCTCGATCCCCTGAACTCATGATCTGCCTGTCTCAGCCTCCCAAAGTGCTGGGATTACAGGTGTGAGCCACTGCGGCCGGCCTAGAAGAATATTTTTAAAATGTCAAAGAGTAAGCTTGTTCAGAGAAGGTAGAAATCCTTAATTTTGGTTGGTTCTGAAATACTGTGGAATAAAACTGCAGACACAGAATCACCCAACCCCTGGACACAAAAACAATGACAGCAATGACAACTAACCCTTACTGAACAGTTGTATGTGTAGGACACTGTTCTAAGTGAGCTGTATGCATTCACCACCACGAATGTAAATGCTATTATCCCTATTATGTGGTTGAGGATCAGGTGTAGAGAGGACCCAGGCATCCTGTCTCCAGAGTCTACACGCTTAACTACTACCACATTATTAACTACTAACACACAGTTAGTGTTCACCAGTCGCAAAATTCTGTCATCCTGTGTGTGTAAAAATGGGCATGGTTTAGGCCCCAGATCCTACCCCAGACCCTACCTCAAACTTACCAGTGAGGTCCCCAGCTTGGTTGATGGGGAGCAGGTGGGGGGGGCATCTTGGGGGTGGCAATTTCCTGCAACTCATACAACAGCAGTGATTCTCCAAGGAAAGCTGGCCCAAACCTCAGCTAATTAGAAAACAAAGAACCAGAAAGAGGTTTAGATGTACCAGCATTGGAAGCTGCTCATGTCTTCAATGGAATTTGCAATTTTCAGAGCGATGCAAGCAGGGTTCAATAGCTACTTAATAAATGTGGGAGAATAGCAGGAAATGAGCGCGTGGGCAAAGACGAAACCAGACAAAAGGCCATCTTTGCGGAAAATTAAAACTAGGAAGCAGAGGGCTTCTAGGCTTTTTTTTTTCAGTCAAAAAGGAAAACATGCTGCATTTGAACAGTCTACTTAAAATACTGACCTCTTTCATACATGGAGTCACTGAAGACTTCATTATTTGCTGAGTCATCTGCAATTGATTTCATAAGGGTTTCTAGACTTTGCAACAAGGCTAAAAGACATCTTTATGGGTAGAGACTTGCTATGTCACCTTTTTCTACCTATCTCGTAGGTACTTTATATTAACTTTTATACTATAGAAAACATGTATTTTATATACAGTGCTAGGCACATAGTAGACGCTTAAATATATTTTGATGTCTTTATTGTCTAATAGTGAAGAACACATCATGATCTGTTTTAGCTATTTTGAAAATAAATCTGAATAACTGACATTTTATAGCTTTTTTTCAGTAATTGAGAATTACCTAGTTTACAATTGGGAAGCCCTGAGGGACCTTTAATATTTTTTCTCTTCTTATGTGAAATAAATTGTATTTTAATTTTCTTAAACTGAAACCACCTAAATGGGCCGATGGGCTTTGGGTTGCCTCGCAATGAAATAAATGCACAGTCGGTAAAAGCACTGCGCTGTCTTCTCCCAAAGTATTTCCCTCCTCTTGGGGATCCAGGATCTGGTATGAAATGGCACCCTTAATTTTGGGGATCTGTCTTTGCCTTCAGCTGCGATTAGACCCCAGAAATGCATGCTTTCTAGGCCCTGTTCCTCCAGGGCTCCACCCTGAGCCAGTAACCAGATTAAGAAACTGGCAAATGAAAAATCTTACAATTGCTGAATCTTCCGTTTGTCTGCATTTATGTGTGTTTTGTGTGTGTCTGTGATGTTTACATGTAAAAGAGCTCTGATTAATTGGCTTAGAAAAATAAGTGCTTAAATCAAGTATTTTGTCAGAAAAATAGAAACTAATGCCTCTGTTCACATAACTTTAGTAATCTTTTAGAAATAAAGATAGTTTTAAAGATTATTGGTAAAATAAAATGTCTTGAAAATGTAGACATTTGGTCTAAATTAAGGTCAGATATCAAATCTGCTAAATGCTTTAAGGTCAAACTATTTCCTTGACTTTTGAAAACTGTCAATTTACCTACTTTGGAGCATTAGATTATAGATGAGGCCTGGGGACCTGTGGATAGCCACGCCCGTAGCTATGCTGAAAACAGTCAGACCTTATCTTCATTTCTATCTGATGTCCTAGGCTCCACCCCAGTACATAATTAAAACTGCTTACTTATCAGGTTTTTCACTAAAAATAAAAGTTGCTAAGAGTTAACATTGTAACATGAAATTGAGTTACTGGAGAAACAGTTTTACATACAAGGTGTGTAGGGAATGTGTTTTTGGTAAAAGATAATAAGAAGGCATGATAATATGGTTTTTGTTAAAGGGAATGTAATTTTATCTAGTTCAGAGGGTTTTAAAGATTTTCTTAACTTAGAGTAACGGGACAAAACTGAAGGTTTAAACAAAGCAAAAAGGGTTTGTAAAGGGTTAATCTTATAAAAAAATTCTGTGGGTATAAACAAGGTGGCTAAGATTTAAAAGAAATTATTTAGGTTTTTTCCATAGGTTAAAACATTAAAATCATACTGATGTGGGGCCGGAATCTGGGCCCATGTCCGAATAACAGGGTTTTCTTAGAAAACTGATCTGCTGTTTGATGGAAAATTGTAAAGGGTTCTAAAAAGTTTATGAAAATCTTACCTTACGGTCAAACTAATTAAAACCAGACAGAGATATAAAATTTTATTTTAAAAACTAGCTTTAACATCAAAGATGCACTAATGAAAACATGAAATTTGGTTTTCTCTTTTGAAGACAATTTTTCTATAATGTTAAAAGATAATGAAAGGGTTTTGTTTTCTCCTTTGGTTAAATGGCAGGGGGAACAAAAGGGAAGAGAGAGAAAAGACAAATTCAGTTGGCCTCATGCTATCTTTCTTGGGTCTCGTTTGGAAAGCTAAGTCTCCTATCAAAGTAAAGGTTTTTCTTTTAAGATTTTGGAGTTATCATTTTGGCCAAATGAATGACTTACGATGACCAGGGATTGTATTTTGTGATCTCTAGTGTTTTAAACCTTTAATATTTGACAAACTTTCCAAAATCAAATTATAAATTATGTCTCTTTCTAACCTAATATTTTAGATTAGCAAAATATTTTTTTCTAACCTAAACTCCTAAAAAATTATTTTTCTAACCTAAAGTCCAAAAATAACATTTATTTTGTACAAAAATCATACAGGAAGCATTGTCAAATATGAAATGGTGCTTAGCTTTCATTGGGCTATATTTGTGCAAATGTGTTGTTGGTATATGGTCCAAAATTATGTAAAACTCCTATAATTCTAATACGACTTAGTCTATGTTATCAGTAATAATTATAATTATTATGTTAACAGACTGTGTACCACAGAGGTAACAAATTTCCTTGTCCATCGTGTCTTAAACTGGTTACCCTAAAATGTTGTTATCCACAGACCATTGTTGTCTCCTTTCGGTCCTCTTTAAAAGACAGTTTTATAATCAGCTATAAAATTTATCAGGTGCTCTTTAAATGCAGGATTCTAATAATACTGGAGATTGTGACATTAGAATAGAGGAAAAACTTTCAAATAGAAAAGCGAATGGCATCTGGTTTACTTTGGACTGTATTTGTATAAATATGTTATTAGTATGTGTCCTAAGATTATGGGAAACTTCTATAATGTTGATATAATTTAGTGTACATTATTAGTGTACCTTATTACACTAAATTATATCAACATTATAGAAGTTTCCCATAATCTTAGGACACACACTAATTATAATTGTTCTGTAAAATTGTTGTATGCCACAGAAATAACCAAAATTCCTAGTCAATTGTAGCTTAAATAGTGGCTATAGACTGTTGTCATCCCCAGACATTTTGTCTTGCTTTGGTCCTTTTCAAAAGACAGTTTATAATCAGATGTACGACCCTGACTGCAGGTCTCAGACAACTTTAAAAATTGTGCCATTGGAATAGAGGAAAAAAACAAACTTCTAGGACTCTCATGGAGAGCTAACGTGTTAAACACTGCTAAACCTTTTGTTTTCAGAGTCAAGAGAACTTATTTCTTTAGAGCTATTTGCAACTTTTAACAAGTGAGTAAAATATACCCCTGTGAACAAAATTTGAAGCATATTTGTTCCTCTCTACCTGATTTCTCCAGAATTTGGAAACTATTTGTGAATATTCTCAATTTATGGCAGTATAGTTAATTGCATACGTGCAATAAGAATCTGTTTTCTTTTGTAACAGGGCACAATTGGAGAAAGCGGTTATTTTACCAAGGCTTTGACTGGAGTGGTATGCTCCCCTTCAAGAATCAAAGTTGACTTATAGAGCCAATTAAAGCTCACTGGGGAATCTGGCCTCATACCTTGTCCACACAGAGTCCCTGTACAAGGTTCCTGACCTGTGATAAGTAAAGAATGTCACTTTCTAACAGGCTCAGAAACCCCACATTATCTTACGTCCTCAAGAGGAGAAGAATTTGCCCAACTCATAGGTATTTGAGGGTACAAACCCATGGCTGGGCTCGGCTTTTAAAAACTCTTATCTGAGATTCTTCATGGAACAGAGTTCTATCAAAGCCAATTTAAAAAGCCTAAGTGAAAAATAAGTACTCTTGCTACATTTTATGTAAATAATCAGGCCAAGTACAGTAAAGCTAAAGTTTATTTTGTAAACAAATATAAGTTTTATCATGATTTGCTTTTAATAAAAATGGGGACTGGAGAGAGAAAAATTATGCTTCAAAAGAAAGACTTTAGTACACCGTTGTTAGCTGTTCTTGAGGTTTTTTCCTGAAGTTCAGACTAAATCCTAAATTCTTTGTGGGTTAGAAGTCCCCAAACTAATGCTTTCAAATCTTTGCTTTTAAAATTGGGAGTTGTGGCCAGGTGCAGTGGCTCACACCTGTAATCCCAGCACTCTGAGAGGCCGAGGTGGGCAGATCACCTGAGATCAGGAGTTCGAGACCAGGCTGGCCAACATAGTGAAACCCCATCTCTACTAAAAATACAAAATTTAGCCTGGCATGGTGGCTCGTGCCTGTAGTCGCAGCTACTCGGGAGGATGAGGCAGGAGAATCACTTGAACCCAGGAGGCAAAAGTTGTGGTGAGCCAAGATTATGCCACTGCACTCCAGCCTGGGCAACGGAGCAAGACTCCATCTCAAGAAATAAAAATAAATAAATAAATAAATAAATAAACAAACAAACAAAACTGGGATCTGTACTCCTCATCCTAGGACTCATTATTTCCCTAATTATTTACTCATTATTTACTACATTATTTACAACCGTGGTCACTTAAACACTGGAGTAAAACTATAGATGAGGGTACTAATGTTTTTGCCATGCAAGTCTTGAACACCCAGCCAGGCCTGCAGGAGTCGCTCAGACAGTTGCAAAGTGGTTTCATTCTTCTCACCTTGGAGTTCACTCCCATTCCCACTATGTCCCCTGTCGACTGGAAGAAGCCAGAGCGATCGGCTGCCTTTTCCCATCTTCACAGCCTACACCTTAAGATTAAGGTGTTATAAAACCCAAAGGGAGGGATTGAAACCACCTTTGCAAAATCATGACTGAGGCAGTGAAAGAGATCTAACTTAACCGACTCCACCTTGCTTCTAACCTCCAAGCTGTCCTTGTTCATTCCTGGGCTTAGGCTGAACTAACTTTGGGAGAAACTTAATTCATAGTTTAAACAAAGATGGTAACAGTCCTTTCCCAAAGCAGACCTCCTTCTTGCCTGAGGACTCAATTTCCTTTATAGGACTAACATTAGTCACAAGATTAGAAATTATGGTTTGGGAGTTATGCAGCTGGAGGCTACAAGATTCTGACCCTCCCTAAGCTGCCCCTAAGATCAGGGCTTGAGACGTTTTGCAGACCCTGCACGTGATGAGTCAGCTGGCACCACCCAGATGCATAAACTGGCCCATATGAACTTGTGGCCCCCACCCAGGAACTGACTCAGTGCAAGAAGACAGCCTCGACTCCCTGTGATTTCATCCCTAAGCAATCAGCACTCCTGGCTCACTGGCTTCCCCCTACCCACCAAGTTATCCTTAAAAACTCTACTCCCCGAATGCTTGGGGTGACTGATCTGAGTAATAATAAAACTCTGGTCTCCCACAGCAGGCTCTGTGTGAATTACTCTTCCTCTATTTCAATCCCCCTGTCTTGATGAATCGGCTCTGTCTAGGCAGTAGGCAAGGTGGATCCCTTGGGTGGTTACAAAACCAACTCTATAAAGAAATAAAACATTTCTATTTTAGGCACACTTCTGAAACAATGGCTCTAAAGTCCTCCTCAAAGTACCACCAAAAATCTAAACTGAGCTATGAGCCGGAGGCAACCAAGAGCTCAGAGAAAGCAGGGAGGATATACATATTTACATTCAGCAGAAGTTCGCACAATATTTCTTTCCCATTTCCAAAAGGAAAAGAAAAAATTTGAATTTGCAAGCTTTTGTTAAAAAATCTTGGAAATATTTTTGATGTTTTCTTCTGTTTTGAGTGAGGAGTCACTAAAAACTTCCTTTGGCAAGACAGGAAAAAAGCAAAGAAAAGATGAATATTGAGATACTATATAAAAAATAATGTTTAATAATATTCCCTGCAAGGAAAATGGAAAAGTAAAAAATTTATGGCCAGAGGATAGAAGTAACTTGTAAAACACTTTTCACCTTCAGGAACTTGTATTATTCTTGGGGGAAGAGAATAACTTAAAAGGTCTTTGGCATATCCTACTTGGTGAAATACTTGTGCTTCCATCAGTTGTAAAACGGTAGTTGCAATAGGTTTCCAATATTAAATTGAAAATGAGTTTCCATGAAAAATATATGCCCTAATAAATGAAGGTAGATACATTTAAGAATAAGTAAATATGGCCAGCACCCTAACCAGGGAAGGTTTTATTAGCACTCTCAGAACTCAAAACACCAGCTGCTTAAGTCAATTAACAAAGGTTAAATATTGGTTAGGTGCCACAGGAAATGTAAGAATATGAGAAAATACAACTAGCCAACGTGGTGAGGGCAGCTATATGGAAAAGATAAGATGAGGAGGGCTGAAGCGTTTTTGAAACTTGGGGCAGGGCTGGGGAAGGGTACATGATGAGAGGTTGGGGTAGGGGAGAGGAAACCCCAGAGCAGAAAGACACAGGCAGAGTGGGAGCACGGAGAGGAAGGCCAGCCTATGGCCCAAGAGAAGGACAAGCTATTTAAAGAAGTGGAAGCTACTTTGTAAATTTAGGAGATATTGTCCTTGATCAGACCTTGAAAGAAGGAGAAAGGAAAACGCAAGGCAGCAAAGGGCAGAGTGGTAGAATGGCTTGGATTCTTACAAATTGCAAGCCTGAGGTACACAGCAGCACAGTGGGAATCAGACCACCTAGGACTAAGGGTAAAATAAAAAGAAATGTTAAGGCTTGGGCTGAGCCTGGCCGCTGCAGACCCCAGGCTGCTCCAGCAAAAGAATTCTGCCTCGTGGTAATGACCTGATCGTGCAAAAATGCAAATAAGGTGGACAGTGGTCAAGGGTGAAGACAGATTCATTTCATCGACCTTGGAAATCCAAGAACATAGTCCTGAAGGATGTGAAAGAGAGGTTGGTAAGCACCAAGCCAGCTTCTCCTCTCTAAGCCCACAGCCAGGCCTCCCGTTTTCATGGCCTGTCAGGTACATGTAGCCACGTGACCACGTTCCAGCCAAGGGCATTTGGGCAAAAGCAATGCCCACTTCCAGGATTGTAAAAATGTCCTACATAACCCTGCGCACTCTCATTTCCTATCTACCAGCTGGATGTGAAGGATGGCAGAGCCCCAAAGGGAGCCCAGCTCGTCACCTTTCCCACGGAAGGCTCCCCAATGAACACTGGACTTCCTGTGCCCAACAAGTGTACATTTATCCTGTTAAGCATCTGAGATTTCCGGGTTGGTGTGGTACAACAGTTAGTGTTCCGTACCTTGACCCAAACAAAGGGGAAGAATACGATTTAGGTAACCAAAGTTCCCCAGAGCCTGTACGTTTGAGGATGAAAGAGAACAGCTGGGTGAGGATGCACTGGTGCAAGGTAGGTCAGTGTCAGGTAATAAAAAATGAGATTACACGATTTAAGAGTATGTGAGCTTTGACAATTTTATAGGCTCATACAATCTACATATGTGCATATATGTATATATAAATATTTTGGTATACTGTTCCATGAGTTTTTGTAGGTGGTAGTTGTTGTTTTGAGACAGAGTCTCTATTGTCCAGGCTGGAGTGCAATGGCACTATCTCGGCTCACTGCAACCTCTGCCTCCCGGGTTCAAGCGATTCTCCTGCCTCAGCCTCTCCAGTAGCTGGGACTACATGCGTGCACCACCACGCCCAGCTAATTTTTGTATTTTTAGTAGAGATGGGGTTTTACCATGTTAACCGGGCTGGTCTTGAACTCCTGACCTCAGGTGATCTGCCCGCCACAGCCTCCCAAAGTGCTGGGATTACAGGCATGAGGCACCACATCCGGCCAGTTCTATGAGTTTTAAGTTTTGTTTAGATTCCTGTAGCCACTACCACAGTCAGGATAGAAAACAGTTTCATTACCCCCAAAACTCTCTCATGCTTTCCCTTTTAGGAGAACCATTCCTCCTCTGCTACGCCCTAGCAACCATGAATCGCTTCTCCATTACTATATATTAACTCTTCCAGAAAGTCTCATAAATGGAATCATACAACATGTGGTCTTTTATGACTGGCTTCTTTCATTCAGAATGTTGCCTTTAAAGTTGACTTTTTAAAAAGTATTTGGAAGAGGAATAATGAAATAAAACTGGCAGACAATGACAATGACTGGATCTGGGTAACGTACAGATCCGTTTTTCCATTCTACTTTCATACATGTATGGAAATTTCAATCATAAAAACTTTTTACATTTTGAGAAAAATAACTGTTGTACATCAGCCATGTACCAATCTGAAATTTCTGCTTGAAAGAAATCTGAAAAAAATCAAACATCCGGGACTGAGAAAAAACTAGCCCCCATTCTCCTAGTCTTCTCGTGTCCGAATAAAATTCAGAGCAGTCCAGGCAAAATGGTGTTGGAATTACACTTACATTCTTGCAAGAGACAGTGAGGAGACAGTCAAAGAACCATATTGACGATTTCTGGGTCTGCACCTGCAGGCTCTGACACTTCCAGTGTCTAATGGAGCAATCTGCAATGTCCTGCTTCTCCTGGAAAAACCAATTTCCAACCTTTGCTCCTTAGCAATCTGAGAGTCCCTTAAGAGTGTGATTCAAAGGCTCTGTAGAACAGAAATAGGCCATTTAATTCTATAAAATGGATGTTAACTAAAATGATGGAAACCTTCTGTGAAAAGTGGGTTTTGCCCCTTTTCCAAGGTGACACGGGTAGGAAAAAAGACCTAATTCTAGGCACGAGTACGGTCACCCTGTCAGCTCAGCACACAGAGAAAACCCCCGCTGACAGTTTGCAGATGACACATGAAGACTGAAATCAGTGCCTCCCAGCAATTCTCCAGCTCTCCCTGTCTGAAATGCAAGCCTCCTTGAGTTTTCTTTGCTGTAATACAGTCAAGAGTTTGAAAAGCAGAATTAAAATGAATCTTCCTCAAACCCATGCAAAGGGGCATCAGGTGCTAATTCCGGAGGCATCAAAGATTTGAAATAGGCCCTGGAAGGGACTCATTTTCTGAGCAGCACACTCAGCCTGCATAGATCTGAATCGAAGCAGTCTGCACAGATGTCCCTTCTGGCAAATAAAATGGATAAATTCACCTTAAAATGTGGCTCTTCATGCACTTAGATTTCACTTAGGTAGAGAATGTCAGAAATTTCATTTTCTTCTGAGAATGTATATTTATCCTCACCAAAGTAACCCTACTTTCAGACATCTTTTCCCAACAAATCATGTCCATCACAGCAAAATTATTCTCTTATTTGTATAATTTTTGGTTTAAAAAATGTATCAAGTCTGAACTCTACATATGTTTTATGTTTTCTGTTTGTTTGTTTTTGAGACAGAGTCTCAAAACAGTCACCTGGGCTGAAGTGCAATGGCACTATCTCGGCTGACTGCAACCTCCGCCTCCCAGGTTCATGCAATTCTCCCGCCTCAGCCTCCCAAGTAGCTGGGATTACAGGCACACACCACCACACCTGGCTAATTTTTTGTATTTTTAGTACAGATGGGGTTTCACTATGTTGGCCAGACTGGTCTCGAACTCCTGACCTCATGATCCACCCACCTTGGCCTCCCAAAGGGCTGGGATTACAGGCGTGAGCCACCACGCCTGGCTCGTTTTATGTTTTAACCCTTAGCCATATTAGTTTGGGGGACTTTCTCATGTAGGATTTGTATTGCAGTTCATTATAACAGAGCTGAGATTTTTCTGTTAAATTCTGATTGTTTTCAGCATGTATGTTTTGGATCCTGAATAAAGTTTACTCTATTTTTGTTTCCTCTCAACAGCATCTAGAAAATGGATAATATGATTGTCTTTAGAGCCAAATAAGCTTTACTACCAGTAAGGAGTAAGAAATGCAGAGAAAACACAGTGAGATGACAGTGGAAGAATTTAAATCACAAGTAGAAGCAGCAGCAAGAAAAGGGATACAAAGCTTATTGAAAATTATTGTATACATTACTGCAGCCATAAAAAAATGAGTTCATGTCCTTTGCAGGGGCATGGATGAAGCTGAAAGTCATCATTGTCAGCAAACTAACATAGGAACAGAAAACCATACACCACATGTTCTCACTCATAAGTGGGAATTGAACAATGAGAACACATGGAGACAGATTGGGGAACATCACACACCGGGGCCTGTCGGGGGGTGGGGGGCAAGGGGAGGGAGAGCATTAGGACAAATATCTAATGCAGGCAGGGTTTAAAACCTAGATGATGGGTTGATGGGTGCAGCAAACCACCAAGGCACATGTATACCTATGTAACAAACCGGCACATTCTGCACATGTATCCCAGAACTTAAAATTAAAAACCTAAAAATAAAATTATCGTGTATGTTACAAAAGGAATCTGGAATTCAACTATTTCATTCCATGATAAGAAGGAAAAGTTTCCTCAGGGCAATGATTTCCAATGAGGATGGTGTGGCCCCAGGGGACAGTTGGTAATGTCTGGAGACATTTTTGGTTGTCAGGACTCAAGGGGGAGAAAGTAGTGGGTGGATTCCAGCAACGCTGCCTAATATCCTACAGTGCTCCAAACACACCCACACACAGACACAACCAGGAATTATCCAGTCCCAGATGTCAGTGGTGCCGAGGTTGAGAAGCCCTGTGCTGGGATGGACTTGCAGGGAAAAACTTAACCATAGAGTCTGAGATCCATGACCATGAGTGAAAAACAGTGACATTTTCACATCAGCAAACTCGGGCTCTCTTAACACACAGAGAATCTTCCGGTGCCTTCAAATTTGTCATGGCCTTTGGCTTTAAATTAATCAAATCTTTCAGTCAACAGACACTTAGTGTGTGCTATGTGCCCAGCACTACACACTGTGGCCTCGAGAATATGCAAGGAAGACAAGGTCCCTGCTCACACAGAGCTCAGAAGGAGACCACAATGGCCAAAGCACAAAGGAGGCAAACCGCTGAATTTCAGGCAGTGTTAAGCTCTAGCAAAAAATAAACCACATCAAGATGATGGGGGCAGGGAGGAATGCTACTTGAGATGTAGTAGTAGTACTTGATATCTACCTGTCTGTCAGTCTGTCTGTCTACCTATTTATCTATCTATCTATCTAATCTATCATCTATCTATGTATCTATTCATCTAATCATATCTATCATCTATCTAATTTAATCTATCATCTATCCATCTGTCTGTGTTAGTCTGTTTTGCGTTGCTATAAAGGAATACCTGACACTGGGTAGTTTATAAAGACGATAGGTTTATTTGGCTCACGGTTCTGCAGGCTGTGCAGACATGGTACCAGCATCGGCTTGGCTTCAAAGCTTTTGCTTACAGAGGAGGGGGAAGGGAGCCAGTGTTTCACATGGCGAGAGCGGGAGGCACCAGACTCTTTTAAACAATCAGCTCTTGTGTGAACGAACAGAGTGAGAACTCACTTATTACTGCGGGGAGGGCACCAAGCCATTCATAAAGGATCTAACCCCATGACTGAAACATCTCCCTCTAGGCCCCACCTCCAACATTGTGAGTCACATCTTAACAGGAGATTTAGAGGGGACAAACATCCAAACTGTATCACTATCTATCATCTCTCTATGTAATCTATCATCATCTATCTATGTTTATCATCTATCTACCTAATCTATCTTTCTATGCATCCATGTTTCCATCCATCTACTCACTCACCCACACATCCATCCATCCACCCATCTACCTATCCATTCAACTATCCTATCCCGCCTTTTGCACTTCACTTTTTTCCACCTAATGTTTTAGAAAATTTACATATCAGAATAGCTATATAGTATTCTGTGAATAGTATCATGTGAATGTACATAACCGAAGTCCCTTTATGGATCACTTTGGTGATTTGCTGATTTTGCCCTATTATCTTCTGGCATTGAATGACAGTTAATACGGTTGGGCTGTGACCCCACCCAAATCTCATCTTGAATTGTAACTCCCACAATTCCCACATGTCATGAGAGGAACCTGGTGGGAGGTGAATGAATTATTGGGGCAGGTCTTTCCTGTGCTGTTCTCTTAATAGTGAATGAGTCTCACGAGATCTGATGGTTTTAAAACGAGGAGTTTCCCTCCACAAGCTCTCTCTTTGTCTCCCACCATCCACATAAGACGTGACTTGCTCCTCCTTGCCTTTGCCGTGATCATGAGGCCTCCCCAACCATGTGGAACTGGGAGTCCAATTAAACCTCTTTCTCTTCTAAATTGCCTAGTCTCAGGTACAACTTTATCAGTGGCATGAGAACAGACTGATACAACAGTGAATGTTGCTGTGAAGAGGTCTAAAGCCAGCATGGATTTCTATCTCTGGTAAGTGACAACTGACTTGGTTTTTCTTTCCAAACTTTAAAAATTTTGACATGTATTATATAAAAATAAACACACACAAACACAAGAACACACATACGTATATACGTATTAGAACATTAACAGAAATTCCATATCATATATGAACAGTTTAAAGGACAACAATAAACATCCCATGAACTTAGCACCCAGGTGAGAACTAGAACACGTTTAGTATTCTGATGTCCCTGCGTGACCCTCCCCAGTAACACCCTTCATCCTCCTTACTGGCTTCCTGTCCTAAATTTTCTAGTGATTTTGTCTTTTTTTTTTTTTTTCTATAGTTTTACCTAAATGAGCATATTGGTCCATTATCCATGAACATTATATTGTTAGTTTAATGCACATTTGTATCTTTATATAAATGTATTTTCTGCAAATTTTAATTAAATATTATAATACAGAGATTGCTCATTGATGTGTCTAGCTGTAACTGAATTATTTTCACAAACATGTAAGAATTCTATTGTAGGAATATGTCAAAATTTATTTATCCAGTACCTTCTCAATGGTCATTTTGGCCATTTTCAGTATTTGTTGATATAAACAGTGCTTCTACGAATATTTAAGTATATCTTTTGGTGAACAAGTGTAAGAGTTTCTCTCAGACACCTTAGAAGTGGAAATATGGGGTCATATCACCAGGTCATTCCCAATTATTTTCTGGAAGAGTTGTACCATTTGTTTCTCCTACCAGCAATAATATTATGGTTTCCTTTTTCCACATCCTCAACAACTTATCTTGCTATTATCAGATTGCTTAATTTTGGCAATATGGTAATTATAACATTGAAGCATTATGGTTTCAATTTGTATTTACCTGATTACGAATGGGATGCAGTACATTTTTATATAGTTGTTGGCTATTTTTGTTTTCGTTTATAAAATGTCTGTTCATATTTTTTGCCCATTTTTATATTTGGCTATTTGCTTTGAATTATAGGTTATTTATTTGAACAACAGCCATTCTTCATACATACTGCATTCTAATTGTTGGTTTATTTATTACAAATACCATCCCTAAACTTACGGTTTGTCTTTGATTTAAAAAGGGCTTATTTTAAAAATGTAGTCAAATTTATTAATTTTCCTTCAGTGCTCAGTGTTTTGGTAGATTAAGAAAGTCTAAATCCTTTTCTCTCAGAGGATATAAAGATATCCTTTGGTATTTTCTTCTACACTGATTTACTTTTTCCTTTTAATGCCCAATTGATACGACATCAATGCCTATAAATGGCATGAAGCAGGAATCTCATCCCTTTTTTCTCATTTGGATAATTAGTACTCTAGTGTCATTTTTGAAAAATATATTTTTTCTCACTGATCTGCAATAGTAGCTTCGTCATACAAAATCTCACATTTTCATAGGTCTGTTTTTGGGCTTTTTCTGTTCATTTGTTATTTATCTATTGTATTCCAGTATCATACTATTTTAATTTCTATTATTTTATAAAAAATTATAACCCATCTATATATTTTTCTCTTTAGTGTCGTATCCATTAACAGCCCTTTGATCTTCATATAAATTTAAAAATTAACTTGTCAAGTTCCCTAAAAAACCTAGTTTTTTTTTTTGTTGTTGTTGGAGTTACATTGGCTCTATGGATTAATTGGAGGTAAACTGACACTTTTGTGTCATTATGCATTTCTATCCCTGAACATGGTATATCCATTTCTTTAATTTTTTGTGAATGTTTATTCAACCTGAATTATTAGCAAATTATTTATTTTTAAAATGTTATAATCAAGATATGTTTTGTATTAATATTTTGTCATAAATTATTTTTCTATAACACAGGATACCCCTTCAATCTATAGATTTAGCTCTTCCTTAATACAGCAAAATCAAAGAAATAAAAAACAAAAATCCAAAAACTTTTATTCGTAAATATATTTTTTATTTTCTTTCTGGGATTCTCAGCTCCAAGGTCAGAATGTATTCCTATATTGGATCATCTCTGTTATTTGTGTCTGTCACCTTCTTTCTAATTCTTTTAATCCCTTTGCCTTTTTGCTTAAATTAACCAAGATTATCTCAAATTTTCTTTATGTCAATAATTCTATTTTTCACCAATGGCTATTCCTCAGTTTCAGTTTTTCTTTGGCACTGTTTTAGTCCTCAATGCATGTACTGGCTCTTTGATCTACTTTACTATCTCCTTCTTTGTTTTCTATCTTTGAACTTTCAGTTTATTAAATTTATATTTTAAAAAAAAATTCCACCCACTCTAAGAAGTTGCTTTTTTGTTTTTCTTTCAAAATCAATTATTTTTGTCTCTTATATGCTTTGCAGTTCTTCCTTCCTTCCTTTCTCTCAGCAATATATTTATATAAATGGGCTGCCATCTTCATTTTCTCCTGGTTCATGCTCAACTTGAACAACTCTGCTCAGAATTTCTTTTTATGCTGGTATAATGTGTATAAATTGCACTTGTCCATGCTTTATCTTGCAAAACATGTATCAACACCGTCAATTATACTGTTTTACTGTTTGGTATAACTAAGTGCTATTCTCCCTTTCTGTAATGTTTTCAAATGTTCTGTGCCTGAGTTCACTCAACTCTGTGTGTGCCCATGTGCTGAGAAGGGGAATGGAAATAAGGGCAAAAGGTTAGTATTATATTTCTTCCACGCGCTTGGATAATCTTGGGCTTCAGATTATCATTCCAATTTATCTCTCTGTCTCAGATCCCTGCTTTTGATAGAGAAATACATCCTTGGATGATCTCTTTTTTTATTATCAATCCTACAACTACCCAAAAAGATAAAAGGGAAAAGAAATATAAAAATTGATTTCTCACCTTTGCATAACAAGTTCACAGAGTAGAAAGAAAAATATTACCTGTTCCCTCTGTGTTCTTTTTCCACTCCCTCTGGGTCTTTCCAAAGTTTGTATCATATTTATTATGTCTTCTGTTTGACTATACTCATTTCTGAATGCTTATGATCCATCTGCCTTTGATCGCAGCTGGGATTGACACAATGACAAGCCCAGTGATTGTCTCTGCCTCTGGCATAAGATAGAGTCAATCAGAAAAGAAAATATCTCCTCAAACTGTTATACCCTCATAGCCAAGTCAGGGAACAGGACCCATCCCAGATAACTGACAAGAAGAACTTTAGTATCGGTAAGTAGTTACAGAGGTGCTGGAATTGCTGAAACAGCAACTAGAGGATGGTGACACAGCCCAAGTATGAATAAACACAGGAAGCCTCTGTTCTTAGGGTCAGAAGGACAAAGCAAAGAGGTTGTGTTAAAAGAGGCCAAGAGTAAGGTCTTCATGTAGGAACTGGAAAATTGGAGGCATGGCAAGGGCTACCTGGTGGGAGCTGGACCCACAGGTGGAGGAACAATTTGGCATGAGTAGGGACAGTGGCATGAGAGAGGAGAGAATTATCCTGACTCCACCCCTTTTCCAACCCACAAGTTTCCTATCAGTGGCTTCAATTGACCAAATGTAATCAAAAGCCAGAGCTGGGTGATGTAGAGAACCTGTGAAATGTAGATTGCAGAGGTGTACTCAGTGAAAAGCACAGCACAGCAGGGTAAGGGTAGAAAATAGATTGAAGACAGACCACCAGCTGGTGTATCTACTCTCATCTGTCTTCTTGCAAGTGGGGCTGATTAGTGACACTTTTCATGACTACTGTTTATTTATCACTACTTATCTATTGCTGCTTCAAAAGCTACTATGAAACCCAGTGGTTTAAAATGCCACAGCTTTATTCTATATCATAATTTTGTGTAGCAGGTATATGGGCAGGGCTCAGTTGGGAGATTCTTCTGCTACACATGGAGCTTGACGGAGGTCACTTGGTGGTATTGAGTTGCTGGATGGTCTGGTTTAAAGGATCAAAGACAGTCTTACCCAAGTGTCTGGTTGCCTGACAGGAGAGGCTGGAAGACAGCTCACCTGGTTCCTCTTCCTCTCCATGTAGTCTCAGAGTCTCTTACATGGTCTCCCAGAAAAACAGCTGGATTTCTAATATGCTGGCTCAGAGTTCCAAGACCAAGTGATCCTGGAGATGCTGGGAAAAAGTCAAAGCTTCCTTTGATCTATCCTCAGAAGCTCCAGATCATCACTTCTGCTACAGTCCACTGGGTAAGCAATTCACTAAGGCCAGTACAAATTCAAGAGCAGGGGATCAGAACCCACATCTCAACAGTTAGAGAGGGTCAAAGAATATGCAACTATCTCCAATCCAACACACTCTCATCCCACCTTGCATGAGGCCTTGAGTGGGAGGGGACTCTGCAGCTGTGATTGGATGCACTGAGCTGATTTTTGGAAACATCTGTCTCACTATTTAGCTGACTCCCTCCCCCAGTCTTTGTTGATGCTAATGTGTTTTTCACTTAAAAAAATCAGTTTACTTTTTATACCTTCAGATTTGAAGGAGGGACGGGAAGGTTACATCTCACTTTGCTCTGCTATCTTGCACTAGAATGTGCTGAGTTAGGTGTTTCCCTGAGTTATCAAAGAAAATGCCTCCTAAGCAGCTTTGACCATGGTCCTCTTTTTGTTTCTTCTTTATAGTTTAAGTCAGAGGTAATCTGCTACTTGTCAACATCAGCCCTCTTGGAAAACGAATCAACACTGCTTAGTTTGAAATGGCCTTAAGTAATCTGTTCACATTTCAGCTGGTCCCTGATACATTTCTTGGTAGATGGAATTGATCATGTACTGAAGCAAATGTGGTGCCACCAAGTGTGCTCAAGGTTCACCTTACTCTGTTTATACTCCACAACACCTGGACAAGGTAAGACCCCAGGAACTGAGGCCCAGTGAGCTTCAGTGACCCTCCCAAGTTGCATAAGTAGTGAAAGTGTCACGACAGGTGCCCAGAGCTGCAACTCTGTGACTCTGGGCTCTTCCTCATAAACCCCATGTGGTCTCCAGCAGGCAAACACAGCCCTTTTGTTTTGAAAATGCCATTTCTCCTGATAATTATTAGGGTGTAAAGTGCTTGGAAGGGTCACAGCAGTGTTTAATGGCCTTTGGATGTCACTGTAATTTGCAGTGACAAATAAGACTTGCAGATTTTGTTGGGAGGCTGAAGTGGGTGGATCACGAGGTCAGGAGATCAAGACCATCCTGGCTAACACAGTGAAATCCTGTCTCTACTAAAAATACAAAGTATCAGCCGGGCGTGGTGGCGGGTGCCTGTAGTCCCAGCTACTCGGGAGGCTGAGGCAGGAGAATGGCGTGGACCCAGGAGGTGGAGCTTGCAGTGAGCCGAGATCGCGCCATTGCACTCCAGCCTGGGCAACACAGCAAGACTCCATCTCTAAAAAAAAAAAAAAAAAAAAAAAGAGACTTACAGATTTTGGTCATGGTAGATACAACTTCACTTGATCCGCTCTCAGAAGCGCTGACTTAAGTTGGCACCTTGTCCCTCCAATGCAAACACCACATGCTCATCCTCACAGCATCAGTCACTCAGGAAAGGCCCTGGCAGCGTGCTTTATTCACTGGTAATCCCCAGCACCAAGCTTAATCTTCAACAAATATATGTTAAATAAAGAAAATATTTTAGTTAGCTCAGTCACTTTAGTGCTCTTAAAGAAAAAAAAAAAAGGAATCTCGCAGTATCAGTGACTGCCTTCCTATTTCGCATTTATGAAGAAGAATTTTCCAACACATGTGCTCTGGGGCTGCATGTTAGAAAGGGTAGGCTTTCAATATCTTAAATTAAATTCTCTTATAAACTATAGGGCCTCTGGCCAGTTGTTTAACCTTTTTTGTATTTCAGTTTGTGCCTCTTCTGAAAAATGTAAGTAATAATAGCACCTACATCATAGAATTGTTTTGAGGATTAAATGTGCTTAAAAAATTAAGCACTTAGAACAGTGCTTGGCACAAATAGATATTTAATGAGTGCTGGCTATCATTATTGCATTGAGCAATCTCATAAAATTTCCCAAACCAAGCCCATGATCCCTGCGTTCCTAAGAGTAACCCAGAAGTGGTACACAGAAAAATTAAACCTGGATGTGATGAGGGGATATGAAGACATTCCATCTACAACCTGGGTGGACATTCCCATGAGTGTCTACATGGACAGATGACATGTAGGACCCAAGCCCACCCCACTTCCTCCTTGCCATGCCACTATATAGTCTTCCACCACTCCCAACCCCTCACCAACCCAGAATGTAGTAATGTACCTGAGGTGGGGGCGAATTAAACTCTGATGACTGAGACTGAGTTCTCTCACCAAACACACATCTATCCTTGCCCACTCGAATCTGCAGACCAGAATTCATACCAGCCATCATATTAGTATTCTACTGGATGCAGTGATGACCCAAGAAGGAACCAAGGGCCTTTTCCCCTCAGTTGCTTTGAGTCTTGTTGAAAAGCAGACTATCAGGTAGACCTATAGTACAGGGTGAAGCTATGATGAGCTACTCCTGCATAAATGAAAAGTCAACTCAAGGTTACAAAGTGCGAACGTCAATGACTGGATGTGGACATAGCCAAAGAAGACCATGAAGAACTTTAGTTGCAAAGCAACCTCTTCTGTCTATAAATCCCCCCAAATAATTATAATAATAATAAATTCCATTTAAACAAAAAAAGGCAGATATGGTTTGTCTGTGTCCCCACCCAAATCTCATCCTGAATTATAGTTTCCATAATCCCCATGTATCATCAGAAAGATCCAGTGGGAGATAATTGAATCGTGGGGGTAGTTACTCCCATGCTTCTCTTCTAGTGATAGTGAGTGAGTTCTCATGAGATCTGATGGTTTTATAAGGGGCGTTTCCCCCTTTGCTTGGCACTTTTCCTTCCTGCCATCATGTGAAAGAAGACATGTTTGCTTCCCCTTCCACCATAATTATAAGTTTCCTGAGGCCTCCCCAGCCCTGCAGAACTGTGAGTCAATTAAACGTCTTTCCTTTATAAATTACCCTGTCTCAGGTAGTTCTTTATAGCAGTGTGAGAATGGACTAATAGAATAAACTGGCACCACAGAGAGTGGGGTGCTGCTATAAAGATATCTGAAAATGTGGAAGCTACTTTGCATCTGGGTAACAGATAGAGATTGGAAATGTTTGGAGGGCTCAGAAGAAGAACAGGAAAATGTTGGGAAGTTTGGAACTTCCTAAAGAGTTGGAGGGCTCAGAAGACAGGAATATGTGGAAAAGTTTGGAACTTCCTAGAGCTTTATTGAATGCCTTTGACCAAAATGCTGACAGTGATATGGACAATGAAGTCCAAGCAGAGGTGGTCTCAGATGGAGATGAGGAATTTTTTGGGAACTGGAGTAAAAGTCACTCTTGCAATGCTTTAGCAAAGAGACTGGTGGCTGTTTTTCCCTGCCTTAGAGATCTGTGGATTGAGAGATTGAAATGATTTAGGGTATCTGGAAGAAGAAATTTCTAAGCAGCAACGTGTTCAAGAGGTGACTTGAGTGCTGTTAAAAGCATTTAGTTTTATGTATTCATGAAGATATGGTCTTGAATTGGAACTTATGTTTAAAGGGAAACAGCATAAAAGTTCAGAAAATCAATGACCTGAAGATACAATAGAAAATAAAAACCCATTTTCTGAGGAGAAATTTAAGCTGGCTACAGAAATTTGCCTAAGTAACGGGGAGCCAAATGTTAATCACCAAGACAATGGGAAAAAATGTCTCCATGTCAGAGACCTTCACAGTAGCCCTTCTGATCACATACATGGAGGCCTAGGAGGAAAAAATGGTTTCTTGGGCTGGGCCCAGGGCCCCCCTACTGTATGCAGCCTAGGGAATTGGTACACTGCATTCCAGCCACTCTAGCCAGGGCTAAAAGGGGCCAAGGCACAGCTCAGGCCATGGCTTCAGATGGTAAAAGCCCCAAACCTTGGCAGATTCCACATGGTATTGAGCCTGCAGGTGCACAGAAGTCAAGAATTGAGGTTTGGGAACCTCTGCCTAGATTTCAGAGGATGTATGGAAATCCCTGGATGTCCAGGCAGAAGACTGCTACAGGGGCAGGGCCCTCATGGAGAACCTCTGATAAGGCAGTGCAGAAGGAAATGTGGTGTTGAAGCCCCCACACAGAGTCCCCACTGGGGTACTGCCTAAAGGAGCTGTGAGAAGAGGGCCAACTGTCCCCCAGACCCTAGAAGAAGACCACCAACAGCTTCTGCCACATGCCCTGAAAAGCTGCAGACACAATGCCAGCCCATGAAAGCAGCTGGAAAGGAGGGTGTACCCTGCAAAGCCACAGGAACGGACCTACCCAAGGCCATAGGAGCCCACCTCTTGCATCAGTGTGATCTGGATGTAAGACATGGAGTCAAAGTAGATTATGTGGGAACTTCAAGATTAATTACCGCTTCATTGGATTTTGGACTTACATAGGGCCTGTAGCTCCTTTGTTTTGACCAGTTTCTCCCATTTGGAACAGGTGTATTTATCCAATGCCGGTACCTCCATTGTATCTAAGTAGTAACTAACTTGCTTTCGATTTTACAGGCTCCTAAGCAGAAAGGACTTGCCTTTTCTCAGATGAAACTTTGAACTTGGACTTCTGGGTTAAAGCTAGAATGAGTTAAGACTTTGGGGGACACCGTTGGGAAGGCATGACTATGTTTTGAAGTGAGAGGACATGAGATTTGGGAGAGGCCAGGGGTGGAATGATATGGTTTGGCTGTGTCCCCACCCAAATCTGATCTTGAATTGTAGTTCCCATGATCCCCACGTGTTGTGAGAGGGACCCGGTGGGAGTAAGTGAAACATGGCAGTGGTTACCCCCATGCCATGCTGCTATTCTCATGATAGTGAGTGAGTTCTCATGAGATCTGATGGTTTTATAAGGGGCTTTTCCCCTTTGCTCAGCACTTCTCCTTCCAGCTTTCACATGAAGAAGGATGTGTTTGCTTCCCCTTCTGCCATGATTGTAGGTTTCCTGAGGCCTCCCCAGTCCTGCAGAACTGTGAGTCAATTAAACCTCTTTCCTTTATAAATTACCCAGTCTTGGGCAGTTCTTTATAGCAGCATGAGAACACACTAATACAAAGACTAAACATTCTAAAAAAAATTCCTTTTATAAAAACAGCTGGACTGAATCCCATAGTCTAAGGACACAGTGGAAGATAAAGGTGTTTTACTCACATTTTGCCAAAGCAAATCCCACACAAGCACTCCCTGGGAGAACTTCCTAAAGCCACAATGGAGCCAGTAACACTATTTATGTTCACACCCATTCATATTGATTTCTGTCTTCCTACATTTCTTGGATGTTCCTTCAAGAGGTAAATACTTGAAGATGAGGGTTGAGACCCTGCTTCCCACAGGACCCCATCAATGGCCCTATCTCAACTCCCAGAGGAATGAAAAGACTGTGGATGAAATGTTTCTACACGCTTTTCGGGTTTTTCCTTCTAGCTGTTTTTCAATCAAATGGGTATAAAAATCTCACTGCGCTAGCCTCCTTTAAGGTTCCTCGGATGTTATAGGCTATGACTCAATAGGAGCAAACTGCTCCTTTCAAATGTGTTTATCTCAAATTCCTTGCAAGGTTGTCCTGAGTACTGTCTGTATCAGCCTGCAGAGTCTCCGGGGCCTTGTGGATGGCACAGCACTGAGCTACGGCACCTGTCTCTTCTGTACTTGCAACAGAAGTTTATGTAACATAAGAACAGTGGGGTCTTCAGGGATACTCATGCAACATTACACAAAGCATATAAAGGAGGAATGTGAGGTCGAATGTATGCAGGTACAAATGTCAAATCTCCTTTTTTGGGGGAACAAATTAATGTCAATTTCCTAATCTCTACCATAGAGATGGTAGACTCCTCATTGAGGAGTCTGCAGTGAACATCTGTCATGTTTTAGTCACCCAGGTTCTATGCCTGCATCCTGAGAGCTCCCGGAATTATCTGAGGAGGGGTAGTAGTTGTCCCACATTGGTGCTGATCTTGGTGGGAGGGTGAATGCAGGAGCCACTGCCAACTGGGTTACTGGAAGAGTTAGGTTGTTTCCTCTTCCTCTGGCACAACCAGGGGGGTGAAAATGTGACTTAAGCTTGCCCAGAGGACATTTTTTTCCTAGCACTCTGAAGTTTGAGCCACTGACAAAGGCTGGACAGATGTTCACAGGAGCATCTAGGGCTGCAGCAGAGGCTTGTTGGTATAGGCACTCCTCGCTGCAAAACTCAGTTTAGGCTTCCGAGGTCTAGGGAGCAGTTTTGGGTCCTGCTTGGCTCTGCATCTTCTTCCCAGCCTTTCTACTCATCTCTGGAACCCCCAAGAGCCTGCCAGTTGGCCAGAGTGAATTTCTATTGCTGAGTAACAATGAACCACCTGTTAGGACATTGTAGGGAGATTACATGAAACCACAGAAAACAGACCCAGTACAAATTCAGGAAAATGGTAGGCACTCACTGTTATTACATTCCTCTCTCTTCCCCTTTCCCTAAGAGGATCAGAGCACTCACATTGTTTGACACATAAATGTGTGTGAAGCCATAAGCCTTGACCAAACACATCTGACAGCTCCAAAGGAGCCACAGCAATCAACTGAGGGAGAGGGCCTTGAGCTGGAGCCACTGGGGATTAACATCCTGAAAAGAGAATTCATGAAACTGTGTGCAAAGAGGCTGTGCATATGGTTATATGGTGGCATTTTTCACAAACAGGCATTTACTTACATGAATCAATCATACAGGAGAGAGAGAGAGAAGTTTAAATAGTTTATTTAAATGTCTACTTTCCCAAACTACCTAATCAGCTTATCTCCACAATAATGAGTTGGTAGAGATGTAACCAGTGATTCTCAACTCCAGCTGCACATAAGAATCACTGCGAGAGCTTTTTAAAGACCCTGAAACCAGGGCCTCACCCCAGACCAATGTTGGGGTCAGATGGTCCTAATGAGCCATTGCTATTGAAAACAACTACCTCAGTGCATCTCAGTTCCTGAGCTCCTCTCATGGTGCAAACACCTTAATGTGCTTGCATTTGACTCTGGGTTATTTTCCACACATGGCCTTGAAACCCACACCACTGCTTCATGTAGAGCCTAGCCAAAGAACCTAGTCTCTGACCCAATGCTAAATGGAAAGTAGGTGGGGTGGAATTATGGGGACAATGACATCCACTCATCCTTCCAATATTTCATGAGTGACTGTAGTGTGTGAGGTATTATACTAGATAATGAAGAAACAGGAGCAAACAGATCAAGTCTTCTGCCTTATGGAGCAGACCTTCTAGGGAATGGAAAACTAAATGATATGTGCAATTTAAATAATTTCCAAGAAAAAATTGACAATACAATGTCACCTTAAATCCAAATGCAGAACCTTCCTCTATGCAAGAGGTGAATTTGCTCTATGAATATTTTCTCCCACAACCATAATCTAGTCCAGGATTCTCTAACCAGAGGTTATTGCGTCCCTTGGGGATATCTGGCAATATCTGGACATATTTTTCAGTCGTCAAATGGGTGGTAGCAGTTAACAGGCATCTAGTAGTCAGAGGCCAGAGATGCTTCTCAACGTCCTACAATGCACAGACTATCCTCACAACAAAATATTATCTGATCCAAATGTCAACAGTATGAGGTTGAGAAACCTATTCTACTCAAACCAACCCTATTCAAACTTAGCCTTGGGGGTTGCCTGACTTCTCCAAGGTCACATGGTGACCTTCTAGCAAAACATGGAACAGGGGCAGCACTTAAATATCACAATTCCACTATTTTTACTTAAAAGCTCCTGCTTCTGAATTGCACCTTGATTCCTGATCAGATATAGAGAAAATATATTCTTATAGCTGAGAAAAATGGGGCACCAAAAATCTAGACATGGTTTAACTCTAAATATTATACAAGTTCTCAGAAGAAAATGTAGATTCTCTCAGCCTAGAATTGGCTTCCCTGCCTCTCTAAGTGAACACAAGCATGTCATGTCCCAACTCATGAAACCTAAATGCTCCCCAACTGCCTGCAGCATGACTCTTTGTAAACTGACTCCCAATTCTTCCAGTCACATTTCACACAACACTCCCTCTTACATCTGAACTTCAATTCTACCTATTTCTTGCACCTTTGATTTAGGGCATTGGATGAGTTTCTTCTAAGCCAATTAGCTTCTGGGTTCTAGGTTGGGATCAATACTGTCCTAGGGCTTCATGAGCCATACCAATACCCTTATAATAAATTCTCATTTTTCTTAAAACTGATTCAAATCATGTTTCTGTAACTTCCAAAACAATGGTGTTAAGAAACACAGTCCTGGGAACTACTGGTTTCAGCTCTGATGTGTACATGGCTTGGAAGTCATCACAATTATTCTTACAAGAAAAAGGAGGAAAAACTGAAAAGCACTACATTTTCTTAGACTCATTGGAGAACTGAGGTTGTAGGACAAAGCGCCACTCCCAAATGTGGAGAGACAGATACATTCAAGGAAGAAATAAATGACGGTAAAATAATTTTTTCTTTTTCTTAATTGATCAACATATACTGTTTGTTTAAGCAATAATAGTAGTGATGAATCACAGCAATGCCGCAAAGGACATGAGGGTAAACGGGAAAACTCAGTTGTAAGTTACCTGTGCTACATGGGAAGTATTACAGTGCTACATGAAATTGACTCAGATTAGTTAAAAATGTATATTAAAAATTTTAGAGAAACAATTAATATTTTAAGTAGAATCAGTACACCAAGAGAGGATAGCAAATGTAATCACATAAGATACTGGAATCAGGCAGAAAAAGGGGCAGATACAGAACAAAGAACACATGAAATTAATAGAAAATAGTTAAAAACATGATCAATATTAATCTATATGAAAAGCATTTAAATGTGAACAGACTAAATATACCAATTAAAAGAGAGAGATTGTCAAAGTAGATTAAAAAACATGATTTGCCTATATGATATTTACCAAAATTCCACTTTAGCTCAAAAGACTTTAACAAGTTAAAAGTAAAGAGAGAGAAAGATCATGCTAACGATAATAAATAAAAGCTTCAGTATTTACATAAATTCCAGACAAAGCAGATTTTACAAAAAGGAAAATTATCAGGGATAAAGAGGAAGCATTACATAATGACAAATGGGCTAATTATCCAAGAAGTTACAACAATCCTAAATGCGTATGCATCTAACAAATGCACAACAAAATATATGAGATAATCACTGATAGAACTTGAAGGAGAAATAAACAATCCCCCTATTATAGTTGGGAACTTAGCACTCCTCTGTGAGCAACTGATAGATCAAACAGGCAGAAAATCAGTAAGGATGTAGATGACCTGAACCCACTATCAATCAACTTGATCTAATTGACATTTATGGAATATTCCATCCAAAAGAAGCAGAATACACTTTCTTCTCAAAATCTCATGAAACATTTACCAAGAAAGATTACATTCTGTGCCATGTAGCCTTATATTTAAAATAGAAATTATGCAAAGTATTTTCTCAAGCCACAGTAGTAATTAAACTAGAAATCAATACTAGAAAGATAGATGGTAAGTCCAACAGATTTTTGTTAATTAAAAACACACTTCTCAATAACATATGAATCAAAGAAGTCTCAAAAAAAATTTAAAGTATTTTAAACTAAATTAAAAAGAAAATATAACTTACCCCCAATTTTGAGATGCAGAAAAGCAGTGCTTAGAGAAATATTTATAGCATTAAAAACATACATTAGAAAAGAAAATCTAAAATCAATAACCTAATCTAAAATTAATTAGTGTTAAGTGTAGACACCTAAAGAACAAATTATACCTGAATCAAGCAGAAGGAAATTATACAAATTAGAGAAAAAAATCAATGAAATTGAAAATAGAAAAGCAATAGAGAAAATCTACAAAACCAAATGTTAATTCTTTGAAAATATCAATAAAATTGATAAAATCCTACTCAGGCTAACAAGGAAAAAGGGAAGACAAAAATTACCAATAACAAAAATGAAAGAAGAGTCATCACTACTGATCCTATATAAATTAAAAGGTAAGTTTTCTTCTTTGAGATATATTGCACACCCTGGTGAATACAGTAGATAATAATGCAGTATACATTTTAAATTGCTAAGATATTAAATTTCAAATGTTCTCACCACAAAAATGGTAAATATTTGAGGTGATGAATATGTTAATTAGCTAAGTATTCCACATTGTATTCATAAACCATAATATCACTTTTTACCCATACATACAACTATAATCTTTCAATTTATAATTAAAAATAAAAATCAAAACAAAAACAAGCAAAACAACTCCGCTCAAAAAATAATACTAAATACAGCAGCTAACTCTATACCCACAAATCTTATAACTAGGATTTAAGATAGATGGATTCCTTGAAAGACACAAACTAACAAAACTCACACAAGGAGAAAGAAATACGTAGCATGAATAGCCCTATCTATTAAAGAAGAGTAAATTATTAACTCCCCCAAAAATGAAATCACCAGGCTCGGATGGATTCACCAGTGAAAATTTACGAACATTTAAGATATAAATAATACCATTTCTACACACTCTCTCCGAGCAAGCAGAAGCAGAGGGAAGATGTTCTAACCGTATTACCAAAACCATATGAAGACATTCAAGAAAAAACAAAAGTGCAAACTAGTATCTCTCAGTAATATGAGTATTAAAATCCTCAACAAAGCATTAACAAATTGAATCCAACAACATATAAAAAGAATTACACACCACACTCAAGTGGAGTTTATTCCAGGTATACAAGGCTGATTTCATGTTCAAAAACTAATCAGGATAATTCATTCACTGCATTCACAGGCTAAAGAAGAAAGATCGTATGATTATGTCAACGGCATAGGAAAGAAACTGCCCACTTTTCAATGGGGTCGTTTGTTTTTTCTTGTGAATTTGCCTAAGTTCCTTGTAGGTGCTGCACATTAGATCTTTGTCAGATGGATAGATGGCAAAAACTTTCTCCCATTCTGGGTATATACCCAAAGGAATATAAATCATTCTATTATAAAGATATATGCATGCATATGTTCATTGCAGCACTATTCACACTATTCACAATAGCAAAGACATGGAATAGACCCAAATGCCCATCAATGATAGACTGGATAAAGAAAATGTGGTACATAGACACCATGGGATACTATGCAGCCGTGACAAGAAATGAGAGCATATCCTTTGCAGGGGCATGGATGGACTTGGAAGCCATTATCCTTAGCAAACTAACAAAGGAACAGAAAACCAAACACCACATGTTCTCACTTATAAGTGGGAGCTGAACAATGAGAAAACAGGGACACAGAGAGCGGAACAACATTCACTGGGGCCTGTCGGGGGAGGGCAGTGGGGGGAGAGCATTAAGAAAAAGAACTAATGCATGCTGGGCTTAGTACCTAGGTGACAAGTGCAGCAAACCACCACGGCACACGTTAACCTATGTAACAAACCTGCACATCCTGCACACGTACCCTGGAACTTAACAATATATAATTTAAAAACAAACTTGACAAAATGTACAATAAGTTTTGATAAAGAAAAAACTCTTAGCAAACTAAGAAGGAAAGAGAACTTTCTCAACTTCATAAAGAACATGAACAAAAAGCCTATAGGTGACGTCGTACTGAATGTCGAGAAACTAGATGCTTACTCACTAAGAAGAGGAATGAGGCGTGACAAGCCCTTCTCACCATTACTATTTTACATTGTACTGGAGCCAAATGAAAGAGCTCTCAATAGCCAGAGTGGGAAAATTTGAGCAACAAAATTCATAAAATAATATTAGATTAAACCCAAAGTATAAAATAAATATCCAGGTGTTCTCACTGAAATAAGTACATTATTGAATAAATACATAAACGAGGGAAAATAAGCAAATGTCCCCTGCAGCATTCTAAATAACTTAAGCAGCTATATTGCCCTCAAGGGGGTGAAGTATCACTTCCCTCTTTACAATTGTGAGCTGGGCATAAGCACTTCCTTCCAAAGCATAGCCTTGGGAGAATGGGAAAAAAGTAACTTTACGGTGGAGAAACCTGACAGACCCAGCCTCAGCGCGGTGCTGGTGAGGTGGGATAGGTGGCCGAGGAAACGACCATGTCCTCAGGATATGGCAACCTTGGGACCTTACGATCAATAGAATAAACCTCCCCATTAGCACTGTAGTCAAGCTCATTGAGCAGAGCACTCTTCAGTAGGGAAATTTCCCCTGTAGAGAGCATGCGTATTTTGACTTTCCCTGTCCTCAGGCAGACTCTTTGCTTATTATAATAGTAAAAAAACACACCCCTGGGTGGAGATTTCGGACGCTAATGAGACATGCGATGTATGCGACGTATGAACAAGCTTGTGCAGCTACTGCGCATGTGCACCCAGAGGACCTCCCCCAGACATGCTTCCTAGTAACACCTCTTCCCACCCGCTCATGAATCATCATGTAAGGCTCCCATAAAGGGAGTCTCCCTAGTGCCCATCTTTGCTGTCTCATCCTTAGGAGCAGCCTGCCTTGAATCCTCTCTCTGGTGTACTATCTATACTAAACTTCACTTTCAAAATATTTTCTTTTGCAATACATTGCTCTATGGTGCATTTCCTTTGCTGTGTGTCTCTTGTTTAAATTCTTTTAAACTAAAAAGGCAAGAACTGGGGTCTCACAGCAGCCGTCAGCCCTGGAAGTGAACATCAACAGTAGCAAGTCCTGTGGGCTGTACGCACCCTCGATGTGATAAACATGGCACTTTGCCTCTGTGGTTTTCCTCCCCCAAACCCATGATCCCAGTGCAATCAGGAGAAAGAGCATCAGACAAATCCCAATTGAAGGACATTCCTCAAAACAGCTGACCAGTAAGTCTCAAAATGGTCAAAGCCACCAAAACCAAAGAAAGTCTAAGAAATGGTCACAGCTACAGGAGTGTTAAAGCAAAATAAATATGGCCTGAGAAGGACTCTATTTCCATGTTTGAGTCCTTGTGGATGAACTGCAACCTAGCTTAATAGGCAGACAAGATTGAAAACCTAACTTCGGAGTATGCGCCTGTAACAGTGGCTGAGTCTTGGCCAATCCCAGTGGCCATACTTCAACCAGTCATAGACTGCTGAGTGTTCAAACTGTGTTCAAATAAGGCAAACACTGAGCTGTAACCAATCCAGCTGTTTCAGCACCTCACTTCCGGTTTCTGTACATCACTTTACTTTTTTGGTCTATAAATGTGTTCTGGGCCGGGCACAGTGGCTCACGCCTGTAATCCCAGCACTTTGGGAGGCTGAGGCGGGCAGCTCACGAGGTCAGGAGATCGAGACCATCCTGGCTAACAAGGTGAAACCCCGTCTCTACTAAAAATACAAAAAATTAGCCAGGCATGGCGATGTGAGCCTTTAATCCCAGCTACTTTGGAGGCTGGGGCAGGAGAATCGCTTGAACCTGGGAGGCAGAGGTTGCAGTGAGCCGAGACCACGCCATTGCACTCCACCCTGGGTGACAGAGTGAGACTCCGTCTCAAAAAAATAAAAAATAAATAAATAAATAATGTGTTCTGACCACGAGGCACCCCTGCAGTCTCTCTGAATCTGCTGATTCTGGGAGCTGCCTGATTCACAAATCATTCATTGCTCAATTAAACTCCATTGAATTTAATTCAGCTGAAGTTTTCCTTTGAACAGGAGTTCCAGGAGACATGACCCCTATATGTAATGCAGTCTCCTGGATGGGATCCAGGGACAGCCAAGGGGGGCAGCAGATAAAAACTAAGGAAATTTGAATGAAGTATGGACTTTAGCTAATAATCATGTGTCAATATTGGTGAATTGGGACAAATGCAGCACACAATTGTAAGGTATTAATAAAAGAGGAAACTAGCGGGGACATATGGGAACACTGCAATAAGTTCACAAGTTTTTTGTTAAGTCATATCAGTTCTGAAATTAAAAGCCTGTCCGCCTCTCACTCTTCTATTTCAAGCAGCTCTATCAATCCCCACTAGGGTAACAACGGGATGTACAATCCCAGGTACAGACCACATGTCACTGGACATTGGTATAATTTGAATACACCAACATCTGTCCTCTTTGTTAACAGTGCCCCAGTCTTCACAAGAGGAAAATGCCTCATCTCATGGGATGTATTCTTAATGAAGGGTAATTCGAGGAACCATTTTACTTCATGGAAGCTGCATCTGGTCCCTCTCCTACCCCTGGCACAGCCAGCTAGTAGACAGGTGATTCAGCAGGGGCTGCATGGAGGTCTCTGCAGCTTATGTGCGGATAACGAGAGGAACTATTGAAGGAATTCACTGTGAGGGCGGGAGAGAGTTGCTGAGAGGCTGCTGTGTCCACACGCAGCCACCAACCTCCATCAGAATCTGCATGGCCAAGCTGGGTCCCATGATATCCATCCAGTAAACCCTTTTATTTATTATTTTTTCTTAAATTAGCTGGAGTGTGATTTATGACCTGCAACTTAGAATATCACTGGATACACCAGGGCACATTTTACCTGAAATAGAATAAGAAGAAATCCTATTCTGGGCCAACACAGGTTCAAAGGTTACATCATTCAAGTGAATTAAGCTCACAGGGTCAATTTCAAACCACCATATTATTTCCTAATAAGCTTTAAGTCTTCGGCATATCTGGCTACCAAAACCACCAAAGAATATCGTCTGAGCCTCATCAATGCCAGGCTCACTTCTGCCCTTTGTCAAACACTTGTATTTTATTCTCTTGCTATCTCCTTTCTAAGCCTCACCTTTGCAAGAGTATCTCCTTAGTAATGTCTCATTCCAACCTGGTCTTAAAGCCAATCACAGTGCTAGGCATATGGCACTTAACAAATTCTTGAGCATTTAAAACTGCAGAGACCTCAGCAAAGTGCACATATTTGTTAATAATCAGCAATTCATTCATTCATTCAAGAAATCTAAGGATGTCTCTGCCTTTAAGAACAGCCCCTTCTCTGAGCTTGTTCCACTGTTCTAGGCCCCCCGGCTGACTGTTGTGGGCTGTTAGGTAACCAAGGGAATGCTACACCTTTACTGGGTTCCAGCCTTCCATTCGGATCTGAAGACCAGAGCTCTTTGGAAACGGACTCCCTGTGGTGAAAAGCAACGAAAGAATAACTGGTGAGGGTGTGAAAGAAGAGCCCCAGTTCTTATCTTCCTCCAGGCCCATGGCAGGTAAGTAGAGACTGGGATGCGTCTGAGCCTTGCTCTCAGTGGGGGAGGGACACAGGAGAATGTGTGGCTAGAAGAATATAGAAGAAAAGGTTCCAGTGCTGTGGGATGCTTTAGCTGTTCACTTGAAGGAAAACATTTTCTGGGATTGAATGAGATCGTTAGATGTCTCAGGAATGAAAGAAAGCGTTTTGCTTTTCTTTTCCTGCAGATGTCACCTTCAGAAGATAGAAGCAGCAGGGTAGAACAGAGGTTGTAAGATGACAAAAAGCCCCACCTGGGTTTTCTTGTTCTTAAAGAGTGAAACACACATGCATATATACACGCATACAAATACACACACAGAAAGAAGCTAACTCCTGTGCTTCAGCCGTCGCATGCCCCTGAGTGCCCCTGAGATCACAGGCACGCCGCCGGGGAGGTGTACAGTGGGTGGTCAGTCGCTATCAACAAAGAACTCAAACCGTAGCTGCTGCGTCAGTCCATGATTTGCAAATGTGCATGATGCATATTTGCACAGTCACAGTTTGGAGAAAAGCGCCCAAGGATACTTGGCTGGATCCTTGAGGGTTATTTATAGCAGATGGCCAGAGAGAACAGACGCACACCAATTCTAAATATTTGGAAGCTATGCTAAATTAGTGTCAAATTGACTTCATTTAAAAAGATATACAGTTTTATTATTTTCTAATTATAGGGATTCAAGCTAAAGGATAATAATCTTGCCAGGTCCAAGTTAACCTCCAGCTGTTTACATAAACACATGAGACTCATCCATAATCAGAGCGTTTTAAGTATGCAGCAAGCACATTATTAATGCAACCTCTTAAAGAAACAGTGTAGCATCGTACCGAGGTAAACAGACATTCATGAAACATTTCCTTCATTGTTGTCTCATCTGTAAAACTGATTTTTCAAATTGAATTGACATTTCTAATTGATGGGCTCTGAACAAATATACTTTTGCTGTACTTCTCAAATTTTCCAAACTTTGACCTGTGAGTGGAGCCACCAAATTTAGAAGCTTCAAATGCATTTGCTTGTGAATTTGCCAAGACTTGGAGCCTCATATTGTGCAGCCACACATAGTGAATTTCTCTTGGTTTTGTTACAGACTGCCAAAGATAAAAGCCACCCTTGGACCCTAATGGATATGTTTAGTGTGTCATAAAGTCATGAGACACAAAGCTTTTTGTGAAATTCAGTGCTACACACATCACTGCTTACACACACACACACACACACACAAGCTGCATGTGGCTCTCATCTCCTGAGAGTCAAAGCTTCAGGGGATTGCAGTGTTTAATCCTGCGTTCAGAAAATCAAGTCAGTCGTTGGCGGACCTAAAAAATGGCAGACGGTATGAAACGGTGTAAGATCAAAGCTCCCCTATTCAAACTTTTTGTTTCCACCACCAAAATATTTCTCTACGTAAGCAGCCATCCTCACAAAGAATACTATGTAAGACTGTTGAACCCAGAAAAGTAAAACACAAAGCTAGCAGACCTCATTGAGGACCTGTGGCCAGCTGGATCTAGATCCGATTTCCAGAAGGACGGAAGGGAACGCTAATGAAGGCTTGGCCAGCGCAGATGTGTTCCTGTACCCTAAATCCCTGCGGCTATTCCGCGAATGGCACGTCCAGCCAGGCCAAAGGTTTTTACCTTCCAGGACTTAGCCAAGTTCAGTCATTAGATGCATGTCCATTAGGTTCTGTTTCTTTAGTTAAAATAGGCATTTCTAATACTAGGTCACAATCAAATAAACTTAAATGTGCAAGGTAGAATCAAAACGGTGATTTATTTTCTTAAACTCATCCACCCTTTAAACATAAAGGAAAAAAGGGGAGGGGAGAGGGGAAGGGAGGGGAGGGGAGGGGAGAAGGGAGGGGAGAAGGGAGGGGAGAGGGGAGGGGGGAGGGGAGGGAGGGGAGGGGAGACGGCATGGAGGGGAGGGGAGAGGGGAGGGGAGGGGGAGGGGGAGGGGAGGGGAGGGGGAGGAGATGGGGAGGGGAGGGGGAGGAGAAAGGGGAGGAAAGGGGAGGGGAGAGGGGAGAAGGGAGGGGAGGGGGAAGAGGAGAGGGGAGGGAGAAAGAGAGAGGGAGAAAGAGAGGGAGAAAGAAAAGAATAGAAAAAAGAAAAGAAGAAAAGAAAAGCTAGAAAAAGCAGCCATAAATCCCATATGAAGGGGGATAGAGAGCTGGTCATCATTGGATGAAGTTTATAAGCCCACATATGAAACATGTCTTACATACAGTTACACTCCTCATTTCAGGAGTCATAACACACATTTTATTACATTGCACATCAGGTCAAATTGTTGAGTTATGTAGCAGTGCTAGGACATTTTTAATAACCCAAAAACACTTCTACTAAACAGCTGTTGTAATCAAACTTGCCTGTGTTGAAAATAAAACTAAAACTATATAATGAAAATACAAACAAGCCTAGGCAAGTAGCTTCTCTCATACGTTATATTCCACAGTGAAAACCAGCCTATATTTATTCTAAAGTACACAGAGCTTATTTTCAATGTCTTCTCTTTGGTATATTCTTATATAAGAAACTCAACAAATTCTACTGTATATTCTTCACACGTTATGCTCATTTATTTTTTTGAACACTAAGTTCTATTTCCAGGGAGAAACAAAATGGTAACTTTGAGGTTGGTACCATATTATACTTAGAACTTACATATCTGGAATAGATTTTGAGTTGGCAAAACCGTGTTCCCTGTCCTTTCTGACAACTGTTGCCATTTCATTTGCAGTCTCATTTCAGCTGTGAGGCATTTAACTCTCCCAATTTTGAAAAGCCTTCTTGGATAATTTTAGCATTCCCAAAACTTGCTGATAATACCCTAAGCTAAGGGAAAAGGCGTACCATCAGCAGCCCCCCGGCTGCCCTATCAATGGCTTGGAAAATCTATTAAGACGAATATTCTCACAACCCAATTGCCAACCCGGAACGATCAGACTGGTCTCTGTATTCCACGGTGCAGATGGAGTTTGTAAGAACGGGAAGGCCGGCTCTACTTCGGTGAGCGATAACACAGCTTTTCTGGTCAAACAGCTTCTGGAAAACACCACCTGATCGACGGGCGGGTACAGACAGACATTGGGAAACGACTTACCTCAACGTGAAGCGATCTTCAGTGGAATTTCTGGAGATGGAAACAGGAAAAGTCAGCACGTCTCCTTTCCTCACGGTCTTTGGTATATAGTGGATGGCCACGCTGTTGTCCAGACGCAGTTCTCTCAGGGAGGGTTTCCTGTGTGTCTGATAAAGGAAGATGCTCCCGATCCTCTGCAAGGGGGGCCCGGACTCATCGATGTCACTGTGGCCTGTCCGGATCCCATTGCTTCTCCTCGCGTCTTCCCTGACGCAGTCCCCTCTCTCACCCCCTGGGTGCACGGTGTAGTAGAGCTCCACGGGGGTCCCCTCCGGCTGGTCCACGGACTTCCTCCTCCCGGCAACCACCGTGGGGGGGCTGAACCAGCTGGACAGGAGCTCCAGCTCGGCCACGCACAGCCCCAGGTCCCCCTGCAGCCGGCAGCTGCCCCGCACCTCTCGGGTCTCTCGGAAAGCAAAGACCCTCAGGCACGGCAGCTTCTCCCCGGCGCTGCGGTCGTCCCAGTCTCTGCCCATGATGTGGAACAGAACCTGCACTTTGGGCCGGCTCAGGTAGACTTTGTCCCGCAGGATGTGGGCTTTTAGTTTCCAGTTAAGAGAAAATTTGTTGGTGAATCCAAATGGGTTGGAAGGTAGCATTAAATCCTGGGGCACCACTTGCTCGATGGAGAAAGGCCCGTAGCTGGCATTGAGGACAGGCAGCCTCCTGGATTTGTAAATCAGAAATGACTCCACCCGGGACTGCAGGCTGGAGTTCCTCATGATATCCTGGTTGGCCTCCTTCAGGAAGAAGGAGACGTCCGCGTTGTTGATGTGGTAGGTCACGGGGAGGTAGGTGGGCAGCAAGGAAAACCTCTGGATGCTCTCAAGGATCCCTCGACCTTCCGTCACTGTGGGGAGGGAATCGCAGTGCAGGCGTTAGTAATGCTAAGGTCCTGTTACCAGCATTTCAGACATCTGCGTGCCCCCTTCATAACAGAGGACCCTGTCTTCGCGCCAATTATGCAATTCCTTATCCAAACCTCTTAATCCAATCTACTCGCTTCATATTATTTGTTTCAGAAGAAATAAATGCCACCAACCTAAGTAGAAAACCAGTATCATTTAACCTATAAAAAAGTTGAGCATGCAAATAAATACAATTCAAATACAGTTTTAAAATTTCCACTCGTGATAATGGTGTTTTTATGGGGTTATGGTAAAGACTTGCTCTTTTTTTGATCAAAGGAGAGATTAGCAAGTGTTAGAAAGCTGTCACAGACAAGCTACCATCGACAGAGAGGCACCGTCCCATTGACTCAACACAGACTGAGATTGGAAACAGGAATGACTTCCTCAACACATGGATTGATGCCACGTCCACATTCCACCTGATACATATTCCTTTGTGTTCCACTCATATGCACGTTCTGCATATACGCACATGTCCAATGGGAAATGCTAACAGACTTGGGGCAAAAATAGACGCAGATGCACAATCATAAATCACATGGACAGTGGACACCCGCCCCCAGTTGGAGTTAAGGGGAGAGATGCAGAGAAAATACCTTGGAAGGATATATTGGGAGGGGCCCTCTAGAAATAGATGAGATGAGGTGACCACGACACCAATGTGTCAGGGCCGGGCGTACAAAGCAATGCTCCAAGTCATCTATGAAACACTGGACCCTGAACCTAAGAAGCACGGGAAGGGCAGCACCTCGCTTCCATGCCAGCCACATCCTGTGGACACTACGCCGTCACCAACGAACAAAATCCATTGTTCATTTTTCCGCACTGAACGTATCTCTCCCTCAGGGGGAGAAAAATCCAAAATGTTATTTTCACAAGTTGCCTTACATTCTGTAAGAAAAATGCAGGCAGAGCAATTGCATAATCCAAAGAACCAATTTAAGGAGTTTTAGAAATGTAAACTATTGGCTGGGAACACTGACTTTCTAGGCAAAGCTCCACAAGTTATGCTGAAGCCCTTCTCGTCAGTCACCATGTAATTATCTTTGATTACTCGGACACTCATGGCTCCACCTTTCTCAAAGGCCCACGCAAACACACATCTGGAAGCCTGATGCCTTCCCGAGTCAGGACCCTTCTTGGCAGTCATCCGCCAGCAGCTGAGAGAGCCAAGAGCTCGGAGGCAGGGGTCCTGCTCCCGGCTTTGTGAGACGATGAGCAGGTCACTGACCCTCGTTGTTTCCCATGGACCCATTGGTAGCATGAGGGGGCTGACTGCAGCACTGTAGCCTCAGCCCAGCTGTGATAACACAGGGTGTCAGGCTGCATCCAGTTTAACTTCTAGACAAGAAGTTCAACGCATGTATTCAACCCGAGTTTACAGAAAGCCCTGGATGAAAAAATCTCTCCAATCATCGGCATGACCAAACTCAGAGCAGGCTGAGCTTCCATATAAACAACTAAGGCTTGTCTTGGACTGAACCATTTGAGACTGCTTATAAGTGAGCAGTCTGCATCCACCCAAATGACAATTTCCTAGGGTTCAACGTCATAAATATGGATTGTTTTCAAAAATCAAAATATCATAGATATAAAAAGGGACTCCATGCCTTAAAAAGATTACATGTTTTAACTTTATAGAAATAACTCCTGATTGATATTATCTCTAAACTTGTATCTTCACATGTGAGTTATAGTAAAAACAAAGAAGAGACAAAGAATATTTCAGCCCCTCTCTGGGCACCCTCTCCCCATTTGCCTAGCCACAGTTCTGTGACCTCTCTGGCTGCATTATCAAAGTCACCTTGCTGGGATCCTTTCCTTGACTGTATGATTCTGGGTTATGGTCTCCATCTGGGTTTTTCTGTAGCATCCCCAGCTTCCTGCATCAAAACACGTTATGCTTTGCTGTGATTCTCTATGCACTCCAGTGTGTGATATGCCAGGGAGCAGAAATGACACGCAAGGCTTTTTTCTCTGCTGTATTCACAGTCTTTAAGAGAGTGCCTGGTAAATGTCAGGTACTCAATAAATATTTGATAAACACGTGAATGAATAAATCAACATGTGGATTATGCTTTTTATGTCACAAAGAGCAGATTCTGTTTTTACACTAGGATGTTATTCACTGTCCTCTTGGCTTCCATCACTGTAATCGGAATCCTGGATCCTTTTATCCCATTAAGAGCTCCGTGTAATCCTGGTGATACGGGACTAAGGAAGATGGGCCTCTCCATGTAATGAGACTCCTATAAGACCTACATCAGTTGATACAGTGTCCCCTATTGTTAAAAACACATCTTGGCACCACTCAGAACAAGTACCTTGAGCTGCCTCAGCACTCTTTTGCCATTCGTGCTAGAAACAGCCAAAGCCAGACAACCAAATTACAGATGCTTAAATGTTAATGCCAGACACCAAGGCTCCGTGAACTTCCCTGTTGAACATCTGACCCCGACTACTTGAGGACATGAAACCTAACTGTGCAGCTAATTACACCTTCCAAGGGCAATGACATCGGGTCCTATGATTTTATTCAGGAAAGCAATAAGGCAATCGGGGTCACTGTGAACATCATTTGAAGGGAAGTAACTTCTTAGCTTTATTCCACAAATGGTCTATTAGTCATTTTGCCTGGTATCTGACCTAAATGTTTATTGCTTAAAATTGCTCCATTTTGACCTAAAGCTAGTGTCACTTCCTTTCTTTTTTTTTTTTAACTAATACTACAAAAATAATGCCAATTATGGTCCACGATGCACAGAATGAACGAAGTAAAACTCATTATCCTCTCATCCTTACAGGAATGGTTACTGTCACTAAAGGACATGATTTTTATTTAACATAAAAATTAGCAAAGTGTTAAATTACAAAGAAGCTATACACAGTAAATCTCAGCTAATAATTCGCTAAGGACAAAAATTACTTTTTGATTGGGTTCCGTGGCTGTAATTCTTACTTGAAGGAGAGTGACATGTTCGCATCTTGAAGCAACTCAGTGGTCTGGGAGAGATTTTGTATTAATTTTAACATTTTTGAAAGGATCATTTTTCCCTGAATAATACTTTTTTAAAAAATATGGGAGGAAGGCAATTTGAGCACAAGACTCTCAGTTTTCCCCTATGTGGACTCAAAAGCAATAACTAATCGAATACGGTAATAGGCAAAAAAAAAAAAAATCTACATCCATGCTGAAAATTAGGTACAATCTGCATGCCATAGACTGCAAGAATTACTGGGACTCACAAGGGACTCAAATACCTCACATAGAAAACAGAATGATTAGGGCAGCCAGATAAAACACAAACACCTAATTATGTTTTGATTTCCAATAAACAGAAATATTCCATAGGGCATGCTTATAATTAACAATAAATATTTTTAAATGGTGTTTTTCTGAAATTCAAATGTAGCTAGACATCTTGTGTTTTATTTCCCAAATCTGGCAATCCTCAGCATGGTATTGTCATAGAAAGAAAATAGTTGTCCGCTGAGTAGATAGCTGTAAGATATCTGATATCTAGGCAGCTGACAAATCTACCCTGATATCTGCAAGAGCAAAGGCCATGGGCCATGTGGGTGCTCCCGCACCTGACAATATTCCCAATGCTGGGAGGCAACCAGCTTTGCCATCAGCTGAATCAGAGACCCAAGCATAGGGGGCGCCGCGCTGCACAGAAAGCCCTAAAACATCAAGGCGTCTTGCTGATGCTGTTCTTCCCTAACAGAGACAGTGATGGGGGCAGGAGGTTTGACATAGCCACACTGCTCCTGGAATGAGTCCAAACCTAAAATCACTTACAGGAAACCAGTGCCCATGTGGCCCCTGCACCCAACTCACAGAAGGCACCTTGGAGCAAGGGATCTCCCCTGCTGGGCATGTCAACACCCCAGAGCATCCTCACCGTCCCCCCAGGGATGCCGGGTCATATGGTAACATGCAACGCCAATGTAAACAAGGCTGCCCTCGGTGAAGGATATGTAAATAAACAAAAACAGAAGGAGAACAGGACCTACCAATAAAAGCTGCAGAGTAACGAAGGAAATTCAGAAAGACATTCAAGAAGTAGAGGAATAACATACCTTTGAAGAGTATTTACCATAGAATATTGAAGTACCTTTTATACAAAATGACTTCGGAGCTCACAATCATCAAGAAAAGCAGAGCCTTTGTTGTTTTGTAAGGAAATAAGACTGAGATGGAAGAAGATCCTGAAGTATTAAAAGTAAGGAATTTAAAATGGTTTCAGATGCAATAACACAGATTTGAAAAATGCAGAAAATTGAATTTATCATATGAGAATGGGAGCTTTTGAAGCTTTCCCTACAGCTAAATAGAAAAGGCGAAGCAATGGAAATGATCAGTAAGAGGCTGTAACCATGTGAGATGCACATTAGATGTTCAATATTCAGATGATGGAGCTCCTAATGAAGACACCAGGAAAATGCAAAAGCAGCAGCATTAAAAGGCAAAAAAAGAAACGAAAACATTCCCGGGTTTATATACATATACAAATTCAAAGTAGATCTTTACATTTCCCTGATTCCAGAGAAAACCGAAAACACCACCTTTTAGGTATTTCTAAAAAACACAGTTGCATCAAGGGTAAAGAGTAATTCTATAAGCATTTAGTTAAAAGTAAAATTTTAAAAACTAAAAACTAAGAAAAAAAATCAGATTGTCTTCATTTGCATCCACTGTACAAAATTAGATATTAAAAAATAATGATAAATATTCACAGAAATATGATGAAGGATGTTCTAACTGAACAATTATCTAATTGAACAATTATTTGCCCTCAGGATTTTTCTGGTAATTGTGAGGGCAACAGAAAGAAACAAATGTATACCATATCTTCTGTTGCTGAAAAGAACACTGAAGCTTATTATCTGGGACACCAGAAGGTTAATCAAAGTGCAGTACTCAAGAATAGGAAAATCATGTTAAATGAGAACCAGATAAGCACTGAAAACATTTACGTGTAGAATACATTCAGATAGAGAGTTTCAAATACAGGCAAAACCCCACACATTGAAAATAGTAATAAAAAATTCAGAATCCAAACACTATAAGTAATTTAAAATTTATAAACTTAAAAATGCCAATAGACTTAGGGAACAAAAGAAAGTTAAAGTGGACTAAATTTGTATCTTCATAAGAGATATCAGTAGATATGGCTTTATTTTAGTCAATGACAACCAAATAAAAATATGTCCAACTATACTTTTCTGATAACTTAAATTTTGGTTTCTATGCTTATAGATTAGTGGGAAGAACTGAGGAGAGAGGACAGAAACAGTTTACTGAATAATCTATTGAATGCACAGATAAACAAAAATAGAAAACAAAATATGACAGAAGAACAAATTTATGAGTTATGATATTATATATAAGTGGCTTAGATTATTCCATTAAAAGACTAAGATTCTCGAGCTGGCTCAAAAGTTAAAAGAAAAAAAAGTTAAGCTATAAATTGTCTCCAGGAGAACTTAAATAAGTTGACTGAGGTATTTTAAAAATTAATGAATAAATAAACAACAAAAAGAATAGGCATAGATATTCTATAGAGAAAGAAAACTGGGGTCACAACTTTAATACAAAAAAAGTAAAATTCAAGATAAAAATAAGTAACTGAATTAAAGGTCTTAATTTTAATAAAAGACACAATTCACAATGCATAAATAGTTGTAGATATTTTATGCAAGTATATACAGCCCCCAAATTAATGTAACAAAAATCTCTTAAAATTACAAGTAGAAATTGATAGTAACTAAAATTTGCTTAAATGTTACATACCTCCTTTTCCGGTCTCTGACTTATGAAGTATAGAAAAGTAAATAATGACATGAAGATATAAATAACTAATGCTATTATAATCTCTATGGAGAATACACTCACTTAAAGTGTTCATGGGACCTTCCCATAAACTAATCATATATAAGGCTACAAGGAGACAATAATAATAATAAAATACAGAAATAATTTAAATGATATTCCATGATCATATACACGAGAATATAATTTCATAAAAACTATGAATTTATATTCATAGTTGAATAAGAGAAACCCAACTACTTAACAGTTCTTGAATCAAAATCAAAATAAACCTTTCCATTATACTATATTTACAAGCTGCTAATAATGGCAATACTACTACACATCAAAACATATGTGAAGCAGCCAAAGATGCAGTCAAAAGCAAATTCATAGTCTTCAATAGTATCATTATTAAACGAAATAAAATTGATCAACTAAACACTCAAAATGAGAAACCCAAAACAAAATCTAAATGAAGAGCTCTAAAGAAGCATTAATAAAAACAAAAGTAGGAAAATAACAATGTAAGACAACAAAATTGAGAATTAAATCAAAGAGGTGTTGCATTAGGAAAAATATATATATATATAATATATACTATATCTATAATAACATTGTAATATAATATATAATAGTATATATTATATATGTATATAATACATGTATATATGTGTATATAATATATATGTTTATATATGTGATAGATTGTTAAAAAATGAACAAATCATACATTTATAGTAATAGATTGTTAAAAATGAACAAATCATGCATTTATATAGTCTCTCATACAAAAATTTCCATAAAATAAACAAAAAGGAAGGGAAAGAAAAAGCTTGTGTAATTCTAGAAAGCAAGTAAAAGTTAAAATCCAAAGATTGGTATGAAATTCTAAAAGACACACAGTAGCATAGAGGGGCTGTCTGGTAACTGCGCTCTCAATTTTTCTATAGAATATCTTATTTTTGTCTGCTTTATCAGTTTCTGAGAAAAAGAATGTGTTGAAGCTGTCCCCAATACTTTTGGAAAGGTAAAGTTCTTGTATTTGAAACAGTTGACTCATATGTGCCATCAATATGTTGGACAGTATACAAGTATCTTCACCATTACATTTGGAGACCATGAAGGTATCTTAAGAGCAAGATACATTTCTGTCTTTATCAATTCATGGTATCATTCCCAACACAGATATTTGCGCTGGACGCAGTGCTGGGTGCAGGGGAAACAGAATTCAACAGGAAGAGCCAGATCGCTATCCTCATGAGGCTGGCATTGGAGTGAGGGGGACTGATTAAATATCAAGAAAAAAATAAACACCTGTCATATAATTTCATAAAACTGTAAGTATGAAATAAAACAGGGCCAGGCGCGGTGGTTCACACCCGTAATCCCAGCACTTTGGGAGGCCAAAGCAAGCAGATCACTTGAGGTCCAGAGTTCGAGACCAGCTTGGCCAACATGGTGAAAGCCTGTCTCTACTAAAAACACAAAGATCAGCTGGGCGTGGTGGCATGCACCTGTAATCCCAGCTAGTCAGGAGGCTGAGGTGGGAGAATGGCTTGAACCCAGGAGGCAGAGGTTGCAGTGAGCTGAGATCGCACCAGTGCACTCCAGCTTGGATGACAGAGCAAGACCTCGTCTCAAAAACAGAAAAAAGAAAAAGAAAACAGGGTGAGAGGATAAAAAGTTATCTAGCCAATCAAATAAGCTGAAGACCAACTTGAGACAGGAAGAGGGGAGTGATATATTCCCAAACACACTAATCCTATTTAGCCTTTGTGAGTCCTGACCCTTCACCAGCTAAATACAAAGCCTGGAAATTAAAGTGGAAACCACACACCCTCTGTGAGGGATTCTCAACCTCAGCACTGCTGAAGACCAGCCTTGGTCATGGGGGCGTCCTGTGCCTTGCTGAATGCCTATCGGTCTCCCTGACCCCTGCCTAGGTGCCAGCAGCTGCCACCCCCAGCCCAGCTGTCACAACCACAAATGTCTCCAGACCTTACCAAGTGTCCACTCCAAGTAGAGGCTCAGGTAAAAAAAAAAAAAAAAAAAAACACACACACACACACACACACACACAGTGCACTCATTTAACTAGGAATTCCAGAAAAAAAAAAAAATGAATACTTTGTAGTGTTAGTCCCCAATATTCCAGAGAACATTATTTTTTGTCTAAAAATCACATTTTACAGGACACCATGTACTTTATTTGCTACATCTGGCAACCCAACTTAGGGAGAAAACCACTCCAGTTGGAGAGCTGGTGCTTCAGCTTTACAGTTGAGGAGACAGTACATACCTAGATGGTACATCATAGATAATACGTTGAAAAACCACATCACATGTCCTAACCATGCAGATTAGACAGGGAACGACTGTATCAGAACTTTCCAGAGTGAGTGTGGAAGACCTACTCAGATGAGACCATGGACATCAGGCGCTATTACACCAGACTCTCAAGATAGAAAGAAACGTCAAGCCAAGCTCAGAGTGATATATTTTTTCCTTAAAAATTGACCAAGAGTTTTTTAATGGTAATGGACTGAGCTGCTGCAAGTTTCATAACAGCAATGCTCTCATATGGAACTCAAGAAGAATCATGGTCGGGGTCAAATTTCTGGGAGATGATTTGACAATGCCTAAAAGAGGCTTGAAATTTCCTGTCTCTCTGCCCCATTCATTGTATATCTAAGAATCCATTGTGAGGAAATACAGAAATACTCTGAAAAATTTATAAGAATGTTGAGTGCAGTGCCAGCCATAAAGCTGAAAAATCAGCTACAAACTATAGATCCAAAGAAAGGATATGTAACTATTTATTAGAATAGACAAGGAAATCTATTTCTTGGTAGAAAATAAACTACAATTTTTGTCTTATGAGACTGTAAAAAACTCTGTTCAGCATCCTCTTAACTACCACCTTCTCCTCAGATTCTGAATTTCTTTGCTTCGCACCAAAGAAGTAGAAGCAAAAGGTTCCCAAAGGAAAACATCTCAGAATGTTGGATTCACCGGAGTGTGCCTCCTTCCTCCTGACGTCTTGGATTTTTAATATCCTGTGTGCCTCCAAAGCTCTCTAATGCCTTTAATGCATGTTTTTTTGTTGTCGTATTCTTCAGCTTTTCTACTTGTTCTCAGTAGGAGGTTTGACCTAGTGGCCTGAAGCAGATATCACATAAATTATTATTGACTGAATAAAGAAAGAGGATGTTTAGCTTATAACACAAAAATGTATATCATATTTCATAGAATCTCAGATCCTATTAATTTTAAAGTAAACCATTATTTTATGTACCACTAAGAGGCTGAGCTATGACACAAAAATTGTAATCTCTTAGAATTTTTACTTTATACTCATTGAAAATTTATTTTAAAAGCATTTACATATAGAAGTGCTTAAGACATGAACATTTATGACCAGCCCTAGCAAATGAACTGAATCCCAAGTAATTTCAGGACAAAAGAAATGTGAAAAGATCATAAATTTTAAGACATATTCTCATTTCAGAGATAGCACGTATGAAAAGAAAGTCTCAGAATCAATGAAATGTATACAGTATACCCACATAAAGGAAAAACTGAAGAGAAGTATAGCAACCATGAATAATAGTTGTATCCACCTGGTGGGATTTGGGGTGTTAATTTTCTTCCTAAGTGTTGTGTTTTCCTTTAAATTTTCCCATTATCGCTAATGGTCATTATTAATTTTTATTTATTTATTTATTTATTTATTTTTGAGACAGAGTCTCACTGTGTCACCCAGGCTGGAGGGCAATGGTGCAATCTCGGCTCACTGCAACCTCCACCTCCCGTGTTCAAGTGATTCTCCTGCCTCAGCCTCCCAAGTAGCTGGGATTACAGGTGCCTGCCACCACACCTGGCTAATTTTTTGTATTTTTAGTAGAGACGGGGTTTTGCCATGTTGGCCAGGCTGGTCTCGAACTCCCGACCTCAGGTGATCCACCCACCTCGGCTTCCTAAGCTGCTGGGATTACAGGCATGAGCACCGTGCCCCGCCGATTATTTAATTGGAAAAACATTATGCAAAATATCTCTTGCCTATTTATTTTATCTATTTTATTGCAAACACTTAAGGCATTTCGGAGTGTCTTTCTTAGGATCACTTTTAAAACTTGAATGTAAGACAAACTAGGTCCAGAAAGAGGCGAACACTTGAAAGCCCGCAGCCATGCTCCTCTCCCCTCAGGCTTCGCACCTTGGTATTCTTCCCTTCCGCCGCCTCCTCTCAATGTCAGTGTGTTCAGCCTTAGTGCGCACGCTGCCTCTCCCATACCCACGCGCATTCCCCGGCTGTGTTCAGCCTCAGTGCGCACGCTGCCTCTCCCCTACCCACGCGCATTCCCCGGCTGTGTTTAGCCTCGGTGTGCACGCTGCCTCTCCCCTACCCACGCGCATTCCCTGGGTAACCATATCCACTCTCTAGGCTTCGATTTGCATCTCCAGACTGGAACTCTTCCTCAACCTCCACTAAAAAATCCCTCGTCCTTCTCAGCACCTTCCCTCAGAGATCTCACAAGCATCCAAAACTTGAAATGTAACGCTTCATTGGCCCCCTAAATACACTTGCATTGGTCCCCCTAAAACCTCTCTTCTCACCGATGTCCCAGCTCAGAAAATGCAACTTCCGTTGTTCCGGTATCACATGCCAAAACCTTGGCGCCATGCATGGCTCCTCTCTGCGTTTCACATCTGTGTACAATCCACAACATAAGCTCTTGGCTCTATGTGATAAATATATCTAGAATCTGAACTCCTCTCCGCTCCCAGCAGCGCTATCAATCAGGTTCCAGGTGGAAAGCACTCAGCCTGCTCAAATGGGCGGTTGTTTAAACATGGGATTATATAGGCCAGGCACAGTGGCTCACGCCTGTAATCCCAGCACTTTGGGAGGCCATGGCGGGTGGATCACCTGAGGTCAGGTGTTCGAGACCAGCCTGATCAACATGGTGAAACCCCATAGCTACTAAAAATACAAAAAATTAGCCGGGCATGGTGGCGCAGGCCTGTAATCCCAGCTACTTAGGAGGCTGAGGCAGGAGAATCACTTCAACCCGGGAAGTGGAGGTTGGAGTGAGCCGAGATCGCGCCATTGCACTCCAGCCTTGGCAACAAGAGCGAAATTCCATCTCCAAAAAAAAAAAAAAAAAAGGATGGGATTATATAAAGGATGTGGGATTATTATATATTCATATTATAAATATATATTATATATTTACATTATATATTATATAAAGGATTATAAAAAATCCATGTGTATAATGAATGAAAATAGGACTATAACAGGTAAAAGTTGATAGTGTCCTTTGGATCAAAGTCCCAGGGTTGTGCTAAAAGTGAGAGAAGTCGAGGGCTTCCTGAATGTTGAGCCCCAGAGTTGGAAACCACCTTGTGGAGCATCTGGGAAAGTCTCCAGTACATCCTCAGGTTATTTCTTATTTAGTAAATACCCTTGGCAGGGCTCTGTGGCAGGAACAAAAAGCTACTCCGCACAATATGTTTTCATCTTTATTATTTTATTATCATTATTGTTATTATTATTTTTTTGAGATGGAGTCTCACTCTGTCACCCAGAGTGGAGTGCAATGGCGTGATCTCGGCTCACTGCAACATCTGCCTCCCAGGTTCAAGCGATTCTCCTGCCTCAGCCTCCCAAGTAGCTGAAATTACAGGCTCACACCTCCATGCCTGGCTAATTTTTTGTATTTTTAGTAGAAACGGGGTTTCACCATGTTAGCCAGGATGGTCTCGATCTCCTGAGCTCGTGATCTGCCCGCCTCAGCCTCCCAAAGTGCTGGGATTACCGGCGTGAGCCACTGCAACCGATCTTTATCTTTCTTCTTAACAATAGAACTCAAGTTTTAATTAGGGGAAGAGCTACATTTCCAAGTCTCCCTTGCAGGTGGGAGTGGCCACCTCCATCACTGCCTGGTGGAGCTTGCTGCGCTCCTGAAATGTCTTTGTGCAGTGCAGTGGAACGGGGCCACGCACCACCAGTGGTTACTGGGCACTGAAAGTATGGCTGGCGCTACCAAGAAACTGACTTTTAAATTTCAATTAATTCAAGCTTGAATTTGAAGAGCCACATATGACCAGTGGCTACCATACTGGACGTCTCTAGTCAATGGGATGTGGGCAGCATGGTGTCTGGAAGATCTGAAAAGCGAGTGGGTGGGATAGCTGTGGGCTGCGTCCTCTCCTTCGCTTTCTTCCTTCCTGCTGTGTAGGAAGCAGACTGGACAGCTGCAGCCAGAAGGAACGTCTCAGACTTTGAGGAGGGAGGCTTATGTTGAGAAAAGAAGAGTGATAAGACAGAAAGGGGCTGCCAACCCAAGTGACCTTAGTGCCATCATGGGAGCCTGGATGCTTACGTGAGAGAAGGAATTTCTACTCCGATTTAGCCACTGTTACTTAGCAGCCTCGTCACTCACAGCTGAGCCTAACCCTGACTTTAAGACAGAGTCCTATTTTGGGGAACTATGTTCAAGCCACGAGATCTTCGTGTGTGACCTTCACACAAGTAGCAGCAGCACCTGGGAACGCGCTAGGATGCACATTCTCAGGCCCCTCCCCAGACCCACTGATTCAGATGCTCTAGGGGCCCAACCTCCAAAATATTTGCTTTAACAATATCCCAAGAGTCTGATATGTGCTCAAGTGTGAGAAACACTATTCAAGCCAATTTCTGTACAGAGTAGTATGTAAACATGGATACCTGACTGCACAAATATATAAAAATCCATTTGCAGAAGAATGTTTTTGTTGCTTAAATGTAGGTCTCTCTGATCTCAGATTTTTGGTTTTTTGTTGTTTTTTTTTTTAATAAAAATTGCAAGATTACCTCAAGTAGTGTATGCAAAGGAGCTTTGTGTGTTTTGGGAAGGAGGAGGGAAAACAAATCCAAGGCAACTTTTTTTTCTTAAACCATAACCAGCCAGACACAGCAGACAATCTGATGAGCAGCTTTGGTCTCATCCTCACCTTGTGTGTCTTGCTTGAGCTTTTACCTACAGATTTCACAGCTGCACTGATGAACTCAGCTGGTAACTGTGGGTGAGAGGCAGGTGTGTGAGTCCCAGCCACCATCTGTGAGATTGCAAAGAAACAAACACAGAGACAAAAACCTTCTGGTCTCCACTGAGTTCAGTGCTTCTCCAACATTGGCCTACATGTGACTCATCTACCCAGCAGGCTTGCCGTGGCTGGGCCCCACCCCCAGAGCTTCTGTTCAGCAGGTTTGGGTGGAACTCAAGAATTTGCATTCTAACAAGTGATGCCGATGTGGCTGGTCCAGGGACCCTGCTTTGAGAATCAAGTCCTAATGCATTCCTAGGTCTAGAAACTCACCTCGAAACTGTTGAGAGAACATAGATGGATTTAGTGGCACCTTTGGGACCCCAGGTAAGGTGATAGACAAAGTCCACGGGAGGAAGCACCTCTGACTGTGGCATCCTGCCCTTGCCTACCTCCCTCCAACCACACTGCTCTTCATCCTCTTCCTCACGTGCACTGAACTCAGTCCTGCCCCCGGGGCCTTTGCACTGGCTGTTTCCTGCACCTGGAGTGCCCATCCCCAGGCCCCTTGCAGCTTGAGCTCTTTCACCTCATCCAGTCTCAACACAAATGGCCCCTCCCCAGAGCAGCACTCCATGACCACTGAAGTAACCCTTCCTCCTTCTGCCATATGCCCTGGTTAGTTTATTCACATCTGAAATGGTATTTTCTATTTTTTTCTTGAGTAAAATCTGCAGACCCCCCTTTAACGGGTCAGTGGAAGCAGAGATTTGAATTGCCTCATTCAAGACTGTCATTCGGGCTGCAGGACAATGCCAGGGCACAGATGGACACTGGGCCAGGGTTTGAACAACACAGGTGGGAAAGTGGGGAGGTGTTGGTCAAACAGTACAAGCTTCCAGCCATGCAGGAGGAAACAGTCCTGGACCGCTAATGTACAGCATAGAGACTGCAGTAGACAGACTAACATGTATCATATACTTGCCATCTGCTAAAGTATCAGATCATAATAATCAGCTTGATTTTGGTAATATTTCACAGTGTATATGCATACTAAAACATCACACTGTACATTGTAAATATATACAATTTTTATTTTATTGAGGCTAATTATAACTCAATAAATCCGGGAAAGAAATTTTAGAAATGAATGGATAAAGGAAAAGTCATTGAAGAAAATAACTCAGAGTTCTGTCTCACGGTCGGAAGCCCACAGGCCTGCCCTTGGGAATGTCACCAATGCGGAATCTCCCTGAAAGCCCATTGAGACAAAGTCTAGTGAGGAGGGTGCAGTTTGGACACAGAGCGCTGACTTTATCTCGTCTCCAGCCTAACAATGCGTAAGCCGCTCCCCATCCTCACCCCCATCAGGCAATCAGTATGCAGGGAAAGAACTTCATTAAGCTGTTTTATATTAAAACTAGTAGAGTGTTACATCTCATAATTTTTTAAAAATGGTTTATATTAATGTTTAATTTGTTTAGGGATTTAACAGCTTAAAGAAATCCACAAAACAACTTTTTTCCTTCCCCATTTTCTAAGGGCAAAGTCATTTTGAGGGATGCAATCAATATGCCATAGTTCCTGAACAAATGTAAGAGAGACAGAGAAAGGTAAGGGGAGGAGGAAGAGGAGCATGAGCAGGAGGAGAGAGAAGGGACAAATCACACAACGGAAATGATACCAAGCAGCTACCTTCCCCAGGCCAAGTTCATGCTGAGGTCCAAGGCCAACTCAGGATCAGGAAAAAGGTCAGAGGTGCCTTATCGTTTCACGGGTGGTTCAGAGGAGAGTTTATTTACCAGGAGAGAATGAAGGAAAAATCTGTGCTTCAGTGAAAACTGATGCACACCTTTCTAAGTTTTCCAGTTCTGATTGTATGGGAGTTAAGACTCTGTAGATAACCGATACCAATTCAAAGTGATTCTTGCCTATAGTCATGCAAATCATTTCTATCTGGTACAGGGATAACCCACCTGTACAGGGTGGGATCAACCTGCACATGTGCAATTCAACGTTCCTTTACTCCACGGAAATCTGTGCCTCTTCGACTTCTCCTTTGAATATGTTATAACATCTGTCTGATGTCCTCGATTAATGAGTTAAATAACAAAGTTCACATATGCTTATTTACATCTATATGAGATTCATGATTTTACCTTTTTGTGAATATCATCTTTTAGCAAAGAGGAAGAGGAGACGCTGGTGGCATCTTCAAGTGTCCAAGCCTAGGCTATGACGCTAGGAGTCTCACTGAGCTCTCTCCTGCCAGGCACGGCTGCACGTCACTGAATTACCCACTGGGGCCCATCAGGGACCTGCAGTTAAGGCCACACGCATTGCCACGCAGAGAGGGTCACGAGGCTAGCGACTGCAGGAGGCTGTAGACGATCAACCTAAACAAAAGTCCTCTGAAAAACTGGACCAATAGGCGTCCAGGTAGAAAGCGGTAGATAAATCTCACTTTTTCACGTGCATCGTCCTAAAGTCTCCTAACTCCAGAGAAAGGCAGAATCTGGGGGAATTTCAGGAACTGCTTTTCTATTCTGAGTAGCTTCAGACTTGCAGTCTGAAGTGTGGTTTGAGTGCAATTTTAAAGAGATGAAACTTGGACAGAAGGAAAACAATGCCGCCTGGGAAATGGCCCAATCTCCTGTATGCAAGGGAGTCCCCGATGATGGATCAGATCTGCTCAGGCACATGCTCTGGCTCAGTTCCTTGGAAAGGTCAATGAGGTTCCCATCAGCAAACAGCCTGTGAAAAGGGCTTCAGAAGTCAAGAGAACACGTGGGAACGCCTGTGAGGGTCAGGGCAACTCTCTCTGAACAAGTAGTTAAATTAGAACATGCGTCTCTTTGGAAACCACAGCTGACCTACAAGGTGCACTGAATTTAGCCCAGAAATTAGAAACGCCAAAATGAATCCTAATATAATTGACCAGATTTCCTAAGAGTGGTGTGGTAGGTAGAATAAGGGTCCCTCAAAGACATCCACGTCCTAATCCCAGGAACCTGTGGGTAAGTTATCCTGTATGGCAAAGGGGACTTTGCAGATGGGACTAAGTCAGGAAAATAAAACAAGAGGATTATCCTGGATTATCTAGGTGGGCTCATTGTAATCTGCAAGGGTGCTTAAGAGTGGAAGAGGGAGGTAGGAGTGGAGCCGGGACCTACAAAGCTATGAGATAAAAAATGTGGGTTGGGTTAAACCACTAAGTTTGTGGTGATTTGCTACAGAACCAATAGAAAACGAATCTAGAAGACAACTATAAACGAACAGTGGCACCCATCTTCATGGTCATAGGAATTTGTGGGGAAACACATTTAGCGTCTGTAGGTAGAAATGGTGCAGGCCAACGCTGAGGTGGAGTTGTGCCAGGCCTGTGGCTAACATGCAACCCACCTTCATGTTGATTAGAAATAAGTGTCCTTGTATCCAGGCCAGTGCAGTCTCATGGCGACCAGCACAGCTCCCTGACCAGAATGTAGACTGGCCCTCAGCTCCACCAGCACAAAGCGCACTTGAGGCATGCACAACCTGAACAACCGTACACGACAGCCCTGCAAGGGAAGCACACCCGTCTTAATCCAGGAAGGCCATTTCTCTGTGTACAGATGAAGAAATTTAATCTACATTCTAAAAAGAAGGGTGTGTTCTGCTTCTTAAGTGATGTGACATCGTCATTCTGTGCTCTCTTTCATATTTGACACATGGATTCTTCATGTGTCTCTTTAAAAGTCTGCACTGAAGTTACACAGAAATGACATTCCAAGTATTTCATAAATGTTGCTACTTCATTTGCCTTTTTTTGGGTAAAAACTGGCAGAAAATCTAAGCAATTTAAAAATTAGAAATTTATTTAATAAAATTTTAATAAAATTAATAAAAATATTTAACATTAATAATATATTTAATAAAATCATATTTTGATAAAATATTTAATAAATATTTCCGTATGGGAAACACAGAATATGGGAAACACAGAATATGGGAAACACAGAATATGAGGCCCACAGAAATGTGTCCAGTGTGATTCAATGTCTCCCTGGAAAAATAATTTTTTAAATTTTAATATTTTATTAAATTAAAATAATAAAATAGTTAACATATTTAATAAAATAAAATATTTAATAAAATTGTTGGTTTTATCAAAATCTAAAAGACCCAGAGGTGTCAAAACTTAGGATCCAAGAACTCTAGCAATGCCATCTCTTGTGGCCCTCGCAGGGCTGTCATGTACGGTTGTTCAAGTTGTGAATGTCTCAAGTGCGCTCGTGCTGGTGGAGCTGAAGTCCAGTCTACATTCCGGTCAGTGAGCCGTGCTGGTCGCCATGAGACTGCACTGGCCTGGATACAAGGACAATTATTTCTAATCAACACGAAGGTGCGTTGTGTGTTAGCTGCAGAGATTTCCTTCAAAATCAATGGATTTCTTATGAGGGTAGCTCACTCCTGCTAGGGCCCCTGAGCAGCTCCAGGTTGATCCCCTGCCCCTGCCAAGGACAAGTCCAGTGAAAACGAAGTCTTCTTTCCCTTAAAGAGATTCAGATCTGGGGGCTGATGATCATTAGCCCAAACTGGGTCCTGTGTGCAATATTAAGCCAATTGCAGTGGTCAGGGAGATGGAACAGGCAAAGTGGCCAGGCTGGGTCACCAAGGCTGGGTCACATGCCCACCTGACCCTGGGGATGGACTCAGTCTCACCCATGTCCCTGGACCACTGCAGGGTCCAGGGAGGGGAGGGGAAGGGGGCTCCCCAGAGGACATGGAGGAACGAGCTGACGCCTAACAAAACATTCACGTCTGGTGCCCATGTTACCATGAAAGCTTTCTTCCCAGTTAAAGTCAATAAAACCTTTACTGGCCAGTTGTCCTTATTTTATTCTTTCTGATGTAGCTTCACACGTTTATATTTTGGTCTTTTTGGAAATTGGTTTACTTATGAAGGCCTTTTATGGAGAAAGTGGGGAGAAAAAGGAAGAAAGTGATATTTACTGGGTTTTTGCAAATGTCAGACACTTTGATTTATTATGTTATTCAATGCTCACCATGATACTGTGGTGTTTTATTATCCTCATTTTATAGGTTAAAAAAATGATAACCCAGCAGAGCCATTTGCCGGCTTTCCCTCTTACTAGCTGTGTAGCTTGGGCAAATCATTTAACCATTTTTATCCTCAATTTCTTCATTTATAATATGGGGATAACAACAGTAGCTGCCTCACACAGTTGTTGGAAGAATTACACAAGTTATTCCATGTGATGCTCAATACGTTTTAGTTAGTATATTATTAATACTAATATTTTCAGAAATGATCATCTATCTTAATAAGAAAGCCACCCATGGGCGGGGTATGGTGGCTCATGCCTGTAATCCCAGCACATTGGGAAGCCAAGGCAGACAGATTGCTTGATCCCAGGAGTTTGAGACCAGCCTGGGAAACATGGCGAGACCTCCTCTCTACAAAAAAAATGAAAAAAAAAAAAAAAAGAAAAAAAGCTGGGTGTAGTGGCGCATTCCTGTACCTGTAGTCCCAGCTACTTGGGGGGCTGAGTGGGAGAATCACTTGAGCCCAGGAGGTGGAGGCTGCAGTGAGCCGAGATCGCACGACTACACTACAGCCTGGGTGACAGAGTGAGACCCTGTCTCAAAAAAACAAAACAAAACAAACCTATCCAAAGCTGCCTGCATACTCCAGAGGTAACCTAAAAAATAAAGAGGTGAAAATTGTTACATCCAATTCAGCTCAGTAATATAAAAATACATTTCCTTGAATGGAAAAAAATATTCTGGAATCTAAATACAACAGAACTAGAGGCATACTGTGCTTGTACAGCACAATAAGAAAATGATTTATCTGTCAGTAGCTCCTGTCTATAAAGTTCTGAATTCATATGAGTGACAGATGCAGGGAAACCCTGTTTATTTTTCTAGGGAGACACTGAATCACACGGGACACATTTCTGGCCTTGAGAAATGGCCAATTGTTTCCCATATGGAAAACTCTTCTGTAAGTGCTGAATTCCATAAACATCAGGTAGCTGAGACACTTTGAAAATGAGTCAGTAAATTAGTTATTCGACCAGAAAGTGCCTATTTCAGGGCCTTCAGCTCCGCAGTGAAGCATTTGCTTTAGACAGTAACCATCATCACCTTAAACTTTTGATTAAATGTTATGCCTCTCTGTGACAAGTTTATTTCACCCTGACAGAGAAAATATCTGGTTCTAAGCTTAGGAGAGTCTCTTAAAAATAGGGCTTTTGTGGCTCACTTGTTTGTTTACTGACTTCTTCAAAGCTATTTAACGGCTGGAATTTGCCATTCAAATTTTATGAGTGATCTGGGTGCCTTATTCCGCTTTAAAATAAAAATCTCAAGCGGGCCATTAAAGACTCAAGATCAAGAATACAGTAAACGTTCTGATAGAACCAAGTCTCGGAGTTGCCCTAAGCGTGGAAGGGATTCATGTCAGACACACAACACACCATTATTTAGAAATGTGGTTTCTAAATAATCAATAAAACCTTGCACGCAGGAATGGTGTCTTTCCCTGGTGTCAGGCTAATTACAACAAAGTTCTAAACTCAAATAAAATACTGGAGTGACACAGCAACATTCCTAGTAACTCACACGGATGGACCAGAAAATGTGTTATTCTTATACACTCTACCTTTCAGTCATTACTCAAGAAATTCACGGAGAGGCAGAACATTCCCATTCTGACTGATTCCTAAATATTCAACATTTGCACTCACTCACTTAAGGATTCTAGAACCTGCCCAGTATTGCTTGGTTGGAGCATTTTCTTCAGTAAATACTGGAAAAAATGAATATAAGTAATGCCAACAATTTGCCAAAGTCTTAAAAAGCTGAAAAATTCTTCTGATTGAATTACTTTCAAAGGCAGCCTGTTCATCATTTTGTGAATGTTAAGATACGGAGGTTACCTATGCTTGCTCTGAAATGATGACAGTGCCGTGGCTGGGCCGTCTAGGGAGACGTTGGCACAATCTGGTTTACAGAAAGGGGCTGCAGATGTACCTCCTACATTAGACCTCCACTCCAGACACACCTCCCCAGTCATCGTCTCCGAATTTCTGCCAGCAATGAACAGAGAGAATCTGCTTAACAAAGCACTGTGATGCTTTCTCACTTCTAGATCTGGGATTCCACAGAGATGATAATCAACGTATCAATAATCAATAATCATTAATCACCTATAAATCAATAATCAACTCATCTAACAGAGATGAACTGAGTGGCCTCCCAGCCTGAGGGAAGGCAGTCTGCCCAGCTGAAGGAGGTAGAAAGGTATTCTACACCATGGGCACTGCCCTCCAGGAGCTGACAGCCAGGTCATGGCTTCAGAGGTGAGGAATCACTGCAGGGGAAGATGGGGCCGCATCTGCGTGTGGAGGGACCACAGGTGCAGAGAAGTCCCCTGAGGACATGGCATTTGAGCCGGACATTGGCATTCAGTTAGGATAGGTATTGGGGAGGGGTTTTTGAGGGTGATAAGTGAGTAAAGGGGTAGAGTTCAGGGACATGGGGCCATGAGGGAAGGTGGGCACGTGTGTTTTCATCCTACTTGTACCGTTACAAAGGATAGCCACTCGTGACTTCAGGAGGCTGGCCCGGTGTTCCCTCTCATCACCAAGTCATCAGATCCACGTCCAGGACTGCCTGTCCACCAAGGAATCCAACCACAAGAGGGTCCTATCTGGATGTGCTTTGTGCTGAATTTTATGGGATGCAAAAAAGGGTGGGATGCCTTAACGGGGTCTTTCTCTTGGTGCCCAGAAATACCCACATTGTGGTGATACAAACAAGAACCTAATTATGCTCCTGCCCAGAACGGGGAAGCTTCACCAATGCTAGAAGGTCCTTGAAACTAGCTCCCGGGGTCACCTGGGAGGGGCCAGTGGGCAGAGGATGTGCTGCTGGCGCTCTAGGTGAGCAGCCCGTCCTCACCAAGCCCGTCCTCTCCCTGAGCCTTCCCGTTGATCTCCTCTGAGAACCTGGGGTCCAGGACTGCCTGCTGGGGGCTTCAATGACAGATGACCATAGGGGCATGGGAGGCAGACAAGCAGAAGCTCTGCCCCATGTGGATCCTGCATGTACGGACCCTCTGAACAGAGTCCTGGGGGTATCACCCATGGGCCTAATCCCAGAGAACCGACCCCAGCAAATCCATCCCATTAGAGAGCACATCCGGCCAGCCAGCTTCCAAGCGGGCTCTCCCACCCATCACCAGCCAGTTGGCCATACCTCCTATGCAGAAGGTATAAAGCCTACTTCTCAGATGTGGGTCCCGGGAAACCCAATCTTCTTAATTTGTCTATAACCACAACTTAATTGCCCATGTAAATTTTAATCCTGCAGCATGGAGTAAACTTAATTTCAGTCACTTTGCAGTTCCCTGCCTCACTGCTGTGGCCAGCTAAATGGTGGGTGTGTTGGAGGTGGAGTGCCCAAGAGCCCATATGACAGAAAACCTACTTAGGTCCCACGCTGCTTTTCCTGTCACTAATCTTATCAATTTTCCCTTCTCCCATATCAATAAGCCATTAGTTTCCTAACTCCTCCTTTCCAATGAGAAACTGTGGGCTCCTGAAGCGCAGGCTGCTGCAGACACACAATCTGTTGTCAGAACCTATCCGGGTTGGGCCAAGGGAGCCACTGGCTCGTGGCTGTGCCTCTGGTACAAGTCGAAATGCCGACTGCCTGTCACTCTTCCCCTAGCTGGTGCCACCCCAACCTGGGCCTGCTGCAAGCCCCCGTCACATCGGTGTGAAATTCCCACGGCTTTCCCAAATCGAACCCCAGCACTGGAATTCTAAGATGGGAGAAGGCGAAGAACACTGAACATCTTCTTGGAGATTACAGAAAGGCCTAGTCCTCTGTCTCTGGATTGGGATTCTGGACACCAGGACACAGACCTAAGCTGCTTCTCCCAGTTGTGTTAGGTGTAACTGGCTTCTATCCAGGCTCCGTCGGCCTTTCTCAATGTCAAACCTGCTGGGTCCCCAAGGTGAGCACTGTGGCTCTGTGAATCATGGTCCTGCTGGAGAACCAGAGTGATGACCATATTCCTGGTTGTTTTCATCAATCCTGGCTCCTTTTTCTTTTTTTCTTTTTTTTTTTTTTTGAGATGGGGTCTTGCTCTGTCACTCAGCCTGGAGTGCAGTGGTGTGATCTCAGTTCACTGCAACCTCTGCTTCTCAGATTCAAGAGATTCTCCTGCCTCAGCCTCCCGAGTATCTGAGACTACAGGCATATGACACCACATCCAGCTAATTTTTTTGTATTTTTAGTAGAGATGGGGTTTCACCATGTTGGCTAGGCTGGTCTTGAACTCCTGACCTCAAGTGATCCGCCCACCTCAGCCTCCCAAAGTGCTGAGATTACAGGTGTAAGCCACTGTGCCCGGCCGATCCTGGCTATTTCCAATGACCCTCTGTGCCAGGTAAGTGAGATGAATTTAAGTGGTCTCTGGAAACGGCTTAACATGGACTGATAGGAAATAAAAATCCCTTTTCAATTACTTTTCCGTCACTCTGTTTAAGTCTAGGAGAACGTTACAGTTTCGTGCTAATATGTTTTTAATGCTTCCCCGACATTTGCTAATCTTTCATATAACAGAAGATGGAGAAGCTCGGCATTTTGTCTAGACAATAGCAGCCAGCTCTTTAGTACCTCTGCGTTCTGGGACTGGTTTTCAGTGACCATGTTGGTAGCTCTGTCTGTCCATGCAGTCGCTCTCTCTGCCCCTCCTCCGCCCTGCTCTGCACCCAGGAAGCCGTCCTCTATTGATGCATCACCCAGGCCCTTTGCTCTCTGGCTTCCAGTTGGGTGTGGCCAATGAGAGGAACCAGCAGGCTGTCACAGGACTAGCGGACAAAGAGGTCGGATATTTCTCTCCCCTCCTGAGGTTTTGGCCACCATTGCAGACCCCAGAAATCTCAGCTGCTGCCAACAGTCCTTCCTCCATGGCTCTGTCCTCACTGGGGTCTGTGATGCAGCTCCCTGACCTTGTCCCGACCCTTGCTCACAGGGCTAACAGCCCCTCTTGTTGCTGGTCTCTGGATACCTCACAGTCCTTCTTATCTTCTTTAATCCTGTCAACATCTCGTCTCTCAAAGTAGCCCTTTTATTGAAGCTGTGGTCAGTTCTGTCCATGCCAGGAGCCAGCACAATGGAGTTACCATCCCTTGATGACAAAGGTGGACAGAGACACAAAATACAATGTGGTTTTCCTTTTCCAAGTGTGCCAAGCTGCATAACGCCTGCCCTCCACTACCAAGATGTCCATATTCTAATGAATTCCAGAACCGGTGACTATGTCACTTACCCCTTAAATGGAACTTTGCAGATGTGATTATGTCAAGACGGGGGAGATTACTCTGTATTATCTGGGTGGGTCCAATAACATCACCAGGGACTTTATAAGAAGGAGACAGGAAAGTCAGAGTCAGAGGAGGAGATGCCACGTTTGAGTAGAAGGCACATTTGAGATGACTATGCCCAAGACAGCGGGGGCTTCATCAGCCTGGGTCCCTGAATGTTTCTGTAGAGCCGACTATCATTAGATATGCACCTTGAGCAAGCAACACTGCTCTTCATTTGCTGTGGTACAACTATCCTTGATGACGAAGGTTGGAAGCCCATCCCATGAGAGAGATTTGAAGACGAATGCTACAGGTACTGAAGATGGAAGAAAGAAACAGGAGACATAGAACATGGGTGGCTTTAAAGGCTGGAAGAAAAGAAGGAAACAGATTCTCCCCTAAAGATGCTAGAAAGACACAATCCATTTGACACCTGTACTTTATCCCAGGGAGAGTGGCTTTGGACTTTTGGCTTGCAGAACTGTAAGGTAATACATTTGTGCTATTTTTTTGTTTTTTGTTTCTGTTTTTGTTTTTGTTTTGAGATGGAGTCTCGCTCTTGTCGCCCAGGTTGGAGTACAGTGGCGTGATCTCGGCTCACCGCAACCCCCGCCTCCCTGGTTCGAGCGATTCTCCTGCCTCAGCCTCCTGAGTAGCTGGGATTGCAAGCACCCATCACCGTGCCTGGCTAATTTTTGTACTTTTAGTAGAGACGGGGTTTTGCCATGTTGGCCAGGCTGCTCTCGAACTCCTGACCTCAGATGATCTGCCTGCCTTGGCCTCCTAAAGTGCTGGGATTACAGGCATGAGCCACCGTGCCTGGCCTTGTGCTGTTTTAAGCTACTAAGTTTGTGGCAATTTCTTACAGCGGCAATAGGAAATTATACAGCTAGGCACACGGGAAGATAGCATTGTGAAGTCTCCCCTCCAGCTAGGTTGGGGATCATGTGCCTCACTTCTAATCAATGAGCTATTGATGAAACTGATAGAAACTACTTCCAGGCCTGGCCCCAGAGCCCCTGGGCTACCCTCTGGTTGTCTCTTCCCTACTCCAGTAAGCACAGAATCCACATTTGAGATAAGTGTGCCCAAGACAGTGGAGGCTTCATCAGCCTGGGTCCCTGAATGTTTCTGTGGAATCGACCATGATTAGATATGCATCATTGGCAAGAGACGTGGCTTTTCATTTACTGTGGTGTAAAGGCACAAGTATCGTTTAATAAGCTCATTGCAGTTAAAAAGTCAATTTAAGGAAACAAAGTAAATAATGGTACAACGAGTCCATCATTCACTATGTATTTCTATATGCCTACAGATAGTGTGCTAATAAGCCTGCTATCTGGAAACAAAAAATAAAAAATAAAAGCTCGCTAATTTGTAGCATTTTCCAAGTTCTGTAGTATAAATACCATCACTGTGACTTGTTTCAGTCAATGCTGGTGATGCCACCGAACTTGGATTTGGCAAGAAAGGCACACCATTGGCTCTCATGCCATGATAAGCTCTCCCCAGCCTATCTATTAAGTGCTAGGTGTTGGGAATACAGCAGTGAGCAAACTCAACCCTCACCTTCATGGGACTTACACTGCAGAGAAGGTGTTACAAGGCAAATAGTTTCACAGTGTACGTATGTGTGCCAATATATGTATAAACACATGCACACATAACAGGCAATAGTAAGAGTGGTAAGGACAAGATTTGGGGAGATAAAGAGAAATGGAGAACCACTATTTTATTTCCAATGGATAAGGCAGGCATCTGCACAGAAAAGTTAACACAGCAGACCAGAGACTGCTTTCCTTGGAAAGGCTCCTTGCAAGGTTGGCCCTTGGCTGACGTCTGGGAACCTGGCTGGTAAGTGGTTTTCTATGTTAATAAAAAATTTCCCTAAATGATAAGAGTGGTTCTCAATGTGCACAGGCTTTTTGCACAATATTTTCTATGCAGACGCAGGTCCAGACATACACTTGCCTTCTCAGAGTCTGGGATTTTGATACTTACCAGGTAGAGGATATGCATGTCACCAGTCCCTAGTAAAAACTTGGGTGCTGAGCCTCTGATGAGCTTCCCTGATAGACAACACTTCATAGGTGCTGTCTCAACTCATTGCTGGAAGAATTAAAGGCCTCCTGTGTGGCTCCATGGGAAGAGACTCTTGGGAGCTTGGGCCTGGTTTCCCATGGATCCCCCATGCACCTTTTCCCCTTGCTGACTGTGCTTAAATCCTTTCACTGTAATAAATCACAGCCATGAGTACGGCCCCAGGAGTCCTTCCAATGAATCCCCAAAGCTGAGGGTGGACTTGGGACCCTGGACACAGTGTCCCTGAGGAGGTAACATTTGAAAAGGGACCCAGATAAAGCTAGGAGGTGGCCATGTAAATACTGCAGGAGGTGCATTTGGATTGGGGGAACAGCAAGAGCAAAGGTCCTGAGGCAGGAACAGCCTCAGCTCATGAAAGGCATGGTAAAAAGAGAATGTGTGTGGAGGGAAAAGAAGAGGGGAGATGGGGTCAGAGACATGGTCATGGGCCAGATCACAAAGGGTCTGTGGACCATGGTGAAGACGCTGGGCTTTAATCTACATGTGATTATAGAGCCAGAGAGTGAAGGGATTGAATTTATGACTTGAAAGATTGTCTTGCTGCTGTGTGCAGGACGGTAGACAGAGGGGTGAGGGTAAAGTGGGGAGCACAGTTAGGAGGCAACTGCAGTAATGAATCCAAGTGAGTGCTACCAGTAGCAAGAGTTAGCATGGAGTCCTGGGGGTGATAAGTCACCAACTGTAGCAAGTTCACAGAAGCAGGTCTGAGAAGCTCTCTTAGCTGATACACCTGCTAAGAACAGGAGTTCTGTTCCCAACTCTGGCCCTGAATAGCAGCTTCCCTGTCTATCAAGTGAGAGGAGTGAGCTATAGCAGGGATACTCAACTGTGGCTGTGTGCTGGACAGTTATAAAGAAATACTAGTGCCTCCCCACCTCAGTGTGGATTTATTTGCTATGGGTGCTATGGGCATGGTCCAAACACCAGAATTTTTAAAAATTCCCAGATGATTCTAAAGCATAGTTAGGACAGACACCCATGAATTAGATGATCTCTAAAGTTCCATTGTAGATTTTTTATTTTGATGTATGATTGTCCCTATTTTGGTGACTTGACAAATGTCTTAGTCCATTTTCTGCTGCTATAATAGAATACCATACACTGGGAATCTGTAAGAATAGAAGTTTATATGGCTTATGGTTCCGGAGGTTGGGAAGTTCAAGAGCATGGCACTGGCATCCTGCCAGGATCTCTGTGCTGTGTCATAACATGGTGGAAGGGCAAGAGAGCACCAAGGTGGAGAGAAAAATGAGGGCTGGATTTCATCCTTCTGTAAGGAGCCCGTTCCCAAGATAACTAACCCACTTTCACGACAATGGTACCAATCCATTCATGAAGGCAGAGCCCTCATGATCTAATCACCTCTTAAAGGTCCCACCTCTTAATGCTGTCACAAAATTCGACATGAATTTTGTAGAAAATATTCAAACCATAGAAATGACCAAAATTAACACTAAAAAGAAAGGAAGAAAGGGCATATATCCCAGGTCAGAGAGAGGGCAAGAGGGAGAGCTGGAAAGAAGAGTGGGTCTCTCCTCCCTCTCTCATGAGCTTCCTGATGACTTTCATTGCTAAGATCCAGTTACCCAGCATGAGAAATTTTCTTCCGAGGTGATTTACAGTCAAATTAATGATTCAAATGTGGAATGTGAAGTGTGGGTGGATTAATAGGTATCACTGGAAGAAAATGTGAAATAGCAACCTTAAAAGCCTTACATATATTTTGAATGATGAAAAAAAAATGCTAAGCTTACTGAGCAAAAGCAAGGAAAAAAGAGACCCCTATTAACATTGCAGACAGCTAACCCTGCATACGTTTATACAATCTCCCTACCCTCCCACTACCATCCTTTTCAATCAGGAAATTACGTTCTTTTCTGATCACCGGCTGTATCCAGCTTTTCTCTACCAGGTCCATTATGCTGTCTCTATTTTTGCATCTCTTTGTATTGCATGTTAAAAAATATTTTTAAAAAGAGTGAGAAGCTAGAAGGATGGAGACCCCATTGACGGTACTGGGTTGGGGGAGCAGGAGGGTCCCTCAAGAATGTCCCACATCAATCCATCATGAAACAGAATATAGACACTGAATATAAAGAATGCAATAGGATAATAAATCAGGGGTGAAATCCATCAGCACAGAAAGTTCCTTAAAACCAGGACAGAAATAAAATAAACTGTATTTTATTTAATGCCTTATCAATGACAGAAATTCACATCTATTTTTCTTGTTTCCAAATTCATTTGCCAACACATTTTGCTTCTGAGTGAGAACAGCATATTTTCACTCCTTAATCTGAGTAATTATAATTAATGGGGTGTCCACTCAGTTTTGCCTGGAAATTCTTTCTTCTAGAACAATCAGCCACTTTCTCTTTTGAGAACTCAACCACACAGCACAACTCAGTAAGGAACTGGGGAATATGAACAAAAAAGCAGCCTGCAGGGCGTGAGTCTCATTTAGAATTTCCAAGGGCTGAGCAGTAATGGCTCTTTTAATTTTGGGAGTAAATTCCGTTTCCCCAGGTTCAGGCTCTGGCCATGTGGAAGGAAAAATATTTCATTTCAAATCCTTCTTTGTCTTACCTTCTAATGATTAAACCCCAGGGTTTCCTTCACCTGGTAAAGGGGCTTCTGTAGTTGCGAAGAGGGAGAAACGCAGCCCTGGTTCTTGGCCATCCCAAGAGGAAACAGACATTGCCCAAACTCAGTGCTTCGGAAGAAACCAAGGTAGATTGTGGCAGCCCCTCATGTCTTCATGTACTCCTTTTTCACAATGTCCTCATTGCCCACAGCAGATATTACCAGCTGAAGGCCCCTGAGCTCAATCTGGCTCCAAAGCTTGTTTTATCTGACTTTGCGGGGTGTTATTTAAATTTATAATTCGTTTTTAATGCCAGTATTTATAAAACAAAAGATTTTATGTAAAAATCTTGACTTAAGCTTTCATTTAAAACATTTCAAGATTTGTTAAATCTGTCAATCCATTTCCATATTGCAAAAATCAACAGAATAGCACCCTTTAGGGCATGAACTCACTAATTTGCCACAGTCTCTACCCAGCCCTTATGCCTCATTTGTATTACCTGTTTTCCACCACAGACATTTTATTTTTAAAACATCTCTGGACCATAGAGTCACTGGCAAAAACACTTAGCTCAATATAATACAGTTCTATTCCCTTGTATATGCTTAATAACTCAGTCCAGGGTTTCTCAACCTTGACGCTACTGACATTTTTGACCAGATAATTATTTGTTGTGACAGTACTGTTCTATGCATTGCAGAAAACTTAGCATCATCTTTGGCCTCTAGTCAATACATGTTAGTAGCACCCCAGTCATGACAATCAAAATGTCTCCAGACGTTGCCCCCAGAAAGCAAAATCACTCCCAGATGAAAAAACCCTGGTCTAGTCATACTGGAATACCTTTTTTTCTTTCTTGCCAAAGATTGCATTTTTTTTCCAGCTCTGAGTCTGCGACATCTGCCTGAAAAACTCCTAGTCATACTTCAAAACCCACCTCCAGAATTCCTTCCTCTGTAATGCTTATCTTTCTACTGGCATAAAGTGTTTGTTTCTTTGATCATGAGTAGAGCTATGACTTTGAGTTGTGTTACAGTTTACAAGGAAGTTGGTTAGGGTGTACACTGAATGTTGTATATGATCAAAATTGCCATTCAAATTATTTTAAGTAGTTTTAATCGCCAGAACCTGATGCTTTGGAAGCCAAAACATTAATGTAAGGTCCTCTGAGCTGGCCGCACCATGGTCAAGCTATCATGACATTCCCCTGCCCTTGTGATAATGTACTTTGTGATATTCCCTGCCCTTGTGAATGTACTTTGTAACGTCCATCCCCTGCCCGCAAAAAATTGCTCCTAACTCCACGGCCTATCCCAAACCCTTAAGAACCAATGATAAGCCCACCACACTTTGCTGACTCCTTTCTCAGACTCAGCCCACTTGCACCCAAGTGAATAAACAGCCTTGTTGCTCACACTAAGCCTGTTCAGCTGGTCTCTTATACGGACGTGAGTAACAATTAAGAAATGTCATATTTTTCCCTCCTAGTCTCTCAGTTATGTCCTTCATTTCTCTGAGGAGCCGAAAGTCTAATCTGGACAAAGAGGGTGGCAATGAATTGTTCACAGTTTGTCTTTTTTGTATACTTTATTTTAATGCTGTTATTAATTTGTATGCTGTACCTCCAGGAGATCTTCAATTTATATTATAAATATACTCTGCCATTGTAATTATGCATTTACAAATCCCCACTCCAGGGGTATGCTCCCTGAGGGTGGATGCTGTTTCAATTGGTTAAGAGCTTTATATAAACCTTCTATCACTCAGACCATGGTAGAAGGTTTATATAATGCTTTGTAAGGTCTGAATCACAACTTGGCTTCCTGCTCATTCACTCATTCATTTATTCACTCTGCACACACTGATTGCATATCTTGGTTAATAATGAGCGTCAACTTGATTGAACTGAAGGATGCAAAGTATCGTTCCTGGGTGTGTCCGTGAGGGTGTTGCCAAAAGAGATTAACATTTGAGTCAGTGGACTGGGAAAAGCAGACCCACCCTCATTCTCGGTGGGCACCATCTAATCAGCTGCCAGCACGGCTGGGATAAAAACAGGCAGAGGAACCTGGAAAGACTAGACTGGCTGAGTCTCCTGGCCTCCATCTTTCTCCCGTGCTGGATGCTTCCTGCCCTCAAACATCAGACTCCAAGTTCTTCAGCTTTTGGGCTCTCGGACCTTCAACCACAGACTGAAGGCTGTGCTGTTGGTTTCCCTACTTTTGAGGTTTTGGGACTCGGACTGGCTTCCTTGCTCCTCATCTAGCAGATAGCCTACGTGGGACCTCACTTTGTGATTGTGGGAGTCAATACTCCTTAATAAAATCCGCTTTATATATACATCTATCCTATTGGTTCTGTCCCTCTAGAGAACCCTGATTAATACACCAGGGGTGTGCTCTCTGAGGGCAGATGCTATTTCAATTGGTTTAGAGCTTTACCATTCAGTCCACGGTAGAAGGTTTATATAATGCTTTGTACGGTCTGAATCACACTGTGGCTTCCTGCCCATTCACTCATTCATTCGTTCACTCAGCACACACTGACTGAATATCTTATGTGCCAGACTCAGCAATGACCCAAACACACGATTACTGCCCTCTCGAAACATACTGTCTTATAGAGGCAGACTTAAAAAAAAATGCATAGTATCTCAGGTATCTCAAAGTGCTGTAAAAAGAGAAAAAGCAGGTAATGTAGATAAGAGGGTATGGGGGACAGGGGGAAGAGGATGCTATTTTCTCCAATGTCGCTAGCAGTGGCCATTCAGAGGACATGGCATTTGAGGAGAGACCAAAATAAGGGAGGAAGTAACCAAGGGCATATCCAGGGAGGACACTGAAGACCTGCCAGGTGTGTATGAATAACAGCAAGGAGATCCGGGTGGCAAGAAGAGTAGAGGGGAATGCAACACGTTACTGAAGGTGCAGTGGGCCGATATAAGGAAATTGAATGTTTTCAGACTTGAAGCCACTGGAAATTTTTTTTTTTTTGAGACGGAGTCTCGCTCTGTCGCCCGGGCTACAGTGCAGTGGCACTATCTTGGCTCACTGCAAGCTCCGCCTCCCGGGTTCACACTATTCTCCTGCCTCAGCCTACTAAGTAGCTGGGACTACAGGCGCCCGCCACCACGCCCGGCTAATTTTTTGTATTTTTAGTAGAGACAGGGTTTCACCGTGTGAGCCAGGATGGTCTCGATCTCCTGACCTTGTGAACCACCTGCTTCGGCCTCCCAAAGTGCTGGGATTACAGGCGTGAGCCACCGTGCCCGGCCAGAAATTTTTTTTAGTATAGGAATTCATGATGGTTTTAAAACAGCCCCATGGGTTTTCAGATGCTACCATCGAGTGTAGGCCGGCCTTAGTGGCTTGCTTCTAATTCGTAGACTCCTGTAGAAATGATGCTGACCAACTCCCAAGGCTGTCAAAATGGCACCTGCTGTCTGGGAACCCAGCCACCACCAACCCAGCCACTTGCCCTTCCTCAGATCGCATGGGGAAGCCACATGTGACAATGCTGGTGGTATTATAAAGAATATATCTGTTCTTTTTCCCTGTTCCTGGAACAAAGCTACTAAAAACCTTTGGGATTTTCTGGGTGATAGGAGTGTCTTTGTTATGCTAATGAGGTGGCTCAGGGTGGCCCCAGGAGAGCTTTAGGATGGGGCTGGTCACCAGAATGACTGAAATAGTTTAAACATTTGTCCCCACCCAAACCTCACGTTGAATTGGCATCCCCAGTGCTGGAGGTATGACCTGGTGAGAGGTGTTTGAATCAGAGGGGCCGATGCCTCAGAGCTTGGTGCTGTCTTCACAAGAGTAAAGTTAAATGGCCAGATCTGGTCATGTAAAATTGTGTGGCACCTCCCTCCACCTTGCTGTCTTACTCCTGCTTTCTCCACGTGAGATGCCTGCTCCCTCCCACTTCCCCTTCCACAAGGTGTAAATGCTCCCTGAGGCCTCCCCAGAAGCAAATGCTGGTGTTATGCTTTCTGTACAGCCTGCAGAACCATGAGCCAATTAAACCTCTTTCTTATAAATTATCTAGCTTCAGGTATTTCTTTATAGCAATGTGAGAAAGGCCTAACACAAAGATCAAGACCTTGATTACAGCATGGGAATCTGGGGCCAGGCCCACACCCAGGGAGGGGATGGGGGCTGGGCTGGAGACTGAGTTTAATCACATGGCCAATGACATAATCAATCAGGCCTCTGTAATGAAACCTCAATAAAATCTCTGGACACCAAGGCTCCAGGAAGTGTCCCATCTGGGAAACACATGGCTGTGCTGGGTATCATGGATCCCATGGGGACAGAGACAGAGGCTCTGTGTCACCCACCCCTCTGACCTCACACTCTTGGTTTGATGGGTCCTGATCTGTGTCCTTTACCATAACATTTTGATCATAGGGACAGCATTTCCTGAGTTGTGTGCCTAGTGAATTTCTCGTCTAGTTTCATCCTACTGAATTATCAAACCTGAAGGGGTGTGGGAAGGCCCAGATTGTAGCCAGCTGAGTGGGAGTATGGGGGCCTTGGGCACACCTGAATCTGTGGCTGCCATCTGAGACTGGGGAGGTCTTGTGAAAAGATTTGCCCTTAGCCTGTAGGGTCAGTGCTAACTCTTGGTAGTTAGTGTCAGAAGTAAATTGCATTGTAGGTCACCCAGCTGGTGACAGAGAATAGTTTTCAGAGCCTGATCGCCCCAGATAAGATCCTGATCTATGGCCAAAATCAACCACCAGTCACGCGGGTGAATGAGACTTCAGATAATTCCAGCCTCTACTCTCCCAGCAATGCCACCCCATACTGAAGAGAGCAGAGAAAAGCTGCCCCCATCACACTCTGCCAAGATTACAGATTCATGAGTCTAATAGATTTTGTTACTGTTTTCAGCCACCATGTTGGGGAATGGTTGTTTATGTAGCATTAGATAACTAGACCAGAGTGATGGGATCTGACATGTTGAAAACAATCGCTCTGGTTACTAAATGGAGATGAGGTGGGGGTGGGGGAAGAAAAGTGAAGAAGGAAGACAGGTCGGGAGGCTGTCATGATAATTCCAGTGAGACAGGACGCTGCCCTGGACCGGCACAGTCGCTGGGCAGGTGATGAGGAAGGGCCGTAACCTGGGTCTGTTTCAAAGGCAGAGCCAACAGGATCTGCTGATGGATCAGATGTGCCGCATGAGGCATGCTCCCCACGGATGCAGACAAGCTGGTCTTTGTGAGATTTAGCTTGAATTCCATCTTCTGGATGTATCTTCCTTCCGTTGCAAGGTACAACGGAAGAACTAGAAGATGAAGAAATGGAGCACTGACTCCTTCGTTCCCACAGCTGCAATCCAGTATCAGAGAAGATGTCCTTTAAACAGGCTGCTACTGAGAACCTCGTTTGCTCAAGACTGAAAAAGGACAATCTTGGCCAGCAAGGGGAGAGCTGTACCCATTCCTCTGGAGGAATAAACAACCTGATACTTAATTGCCTGAATTAGCTGTCTTGCCCATGCCAATCATTCTGTCCTGGTATTTGACCTAAGGAAAGTATAAGATGTCATGAACAAAGAGAACGTACTTACAGAGGCCACCATGATGTCCAAAAGAACCTTTTCCCTATTGTTTTTGGTGTTCCAGCTCCTCAAAGTGACTTTCTGCTCCTTTAACCAAAATCCTACTCTACTTTTAAGAATCAGGTCAAATGCCATCTCCTCAGTGAAGTACTTTTTTTCTGACCATCCCTGTTTTTCTCTAAACTTCTATAGCAATTATTCTTTGTTCAGTACATTGTGGAATTAGCCAGAGTTCCATGTGTATTCCTTCTATTACTATAGAACTATGTTTAGATTACTCATTGCTTCGAGTAACGCAATACTTTATCAAATCCATAAGCCCATAAATTCAACCAAAAGCAAGTTTGCCCAACTGAGGTCTTATATTAGTTGGACACATTGATTATAATCAAAATACTTATGTATATTAACAAAAATGGAAAGTTTGTTTAATTAATTTAAAAAATTAATAAATTAATTCCAGTTTATATGATTGCTTCAGGAAACAAAAGCAAAGGGTTAAACTCTAAAGTATTGGAGAAGGTGGTTTCTTTAATCACAGAGAAGTAGCCTCCTACTGAAAGCATCCCTAAATTAAATTTCTGAATTTAAACAAATATCCTATTTCTCAGTGGTAACAGCATGAAAAGATCAGAAGACAAGTAACAAAGGAACTGGAACTATAAAAGGCAAGTAACCTGATAATCATAGAAACAAAAAGGATCAAGATTCAATGTTACTTCCCATAGTCCATTAGATGCAGAAATAAATAGGAATTGCCCATTTTACAGTACGACGACAAAAAGAATTAAAAGTTAAAGGCCAGAAAGATTTGAAAGTTAAATATTTAAACTATTACAATTAAAAAAATACACAAAATTCAGAGCAACTGTTTGGACACCTCTTAATTACAGAGCAATGAGAAACTGGTTAATGAAATTGTGTTACATTCCGTATCGCAGTCTTGATCACATTTTGCATGATTGCTTACTTAATGATCTGGGAACAGAACACTGAAAGGGCAATAACTTCACCTGTCCTGCTCAACATTTATTCCCTATCACACCACCTGGCATTTAAAAGGTGGTATCCTACACACCACCTGGCATTTAAAAGGCTCCCATCCAATATATAATTGTTGAATAAAGTACAGTACTTATGTATATTAGGGAGCTGTTCAAATTATACATTAGCATAAAACATGTAATGGTGTGGGAATATTTTCAATACACATATATGTACAAATGATACTATATTTTAGAAACAAAAATACAGGACCCTATATACTTACGAAAATAAACATGTATGAAAGAACAAATTATTAACAAAATAGAAAACAGTAATTTAGGCCAAAGATCTAAATAGACATAACAGCCTAAATAAAACTCTTTAAAAATAACGTAGAGTGCAAAAAGGTAAAAAGCCATAGAAAAAAAGAGCAAATGCTGTAAGCCATCACTTGTATAAACTTCAAAAACTGGCAAAACTAATGGATGGTCAGAATAACAGTAATCTTTGAAAACAAGGGGTGGTTACTAGAATTGGGTGAGGGGAGGGTATCAAGGATATTCTATCTCTTGACCATGAATATGTGACTTTGCAACCATTTATCCATGCCATTGTCCTTATAGACCTATAAAGATCATCTTCCTGAGGCACAAAGCAAGGTGGAGATGGCTGAAGCACGAATGAGGGGCAGCAACAGGATGCTGACCACCCCCAGTCCAGCACACCTGCCCACCTCCACTGTCTCCTGTCCTAGGCCACGGAACCTGGGCCATGGATGTCACACACTTTGCTTCCCCCTCCCTCTCCCTGCACTGAGAATGTACATCCTCATCTCGCCCATCTCCAGATATCCACTCTACAATGGTGTTTTCCTTTCATTTCCATTGTTTCCTTTTTTTAGGTAATAGACAATCTCAAAAACAAATTGTATTTATTGCTGTTTCTCTAAAGAGGAACATGCCCTACAAAAGTCTCCTTCTTTATAGATTTCTCATTTATAACAGTGTGATACTTCTTTTTTATGGTACATAGAACTATTTTCTCTTGATGTTGGTTTCACATAAACAGAAGTAAATATGACTTTACTGGCTATAGAAATACAGCTCGTGGAGAGAAATGTATTTTGTATCTGAAATATTGCTCTTACCAAGTATTTTTATAAGCACCTTACACATAAAATAAAATGTCAAATAATTCAGAAACAAATATACTATGTTCCAGGGATTGCAAGGAAATTAACATGAAAAGGGACCTGGTAATTCAGGAGTCACTCACTGTTCAGGGAGACAGAAGGTCGGCAGCTGAACGTGGAGCTACAAGGCTTCTTGAGGAATTACTACTTTAAAGAAAAACAATGATGTTTTATAGTATTGAAAAAAAAACTTTCTAATTTGCCACATATAAATTTTAAGAGAAAAATGTTCTAGGAGAGACAAAAATGCTCTTGTTCATTGCCTCCCATAAAAATGAATTTGTACTTCTTAAGAGAGAAAGACAATCTTAGGCCTAAATATTCAGAGGAACATTATTATATCTGTGATGCGTGCATTAAGTCAACCTATGATGGTGCCTTTTTTTTTTTTTTTTTTTCTGAGACAGAGTTTTCCTCTGTCACCCAGAGCTGGAGTGCAATGGTGCAGTCTTGGCTCACTGCAACCTCTGCCACCCGGGCTCAAGCGATTCTCCTGCCTCAGCCTCCCAAGTAGCTGGGATTACAGGCATGTGCCACCAACGCCAGCCTATTTTTGTATTTTTTGTAGAGACAAGGTTTCACCATGTTGACCAGGCTGTTCCTCAACTTCTGACCTCATGATCCGCCTGCCTCAGCATCCCAAAGTGCTGGGATTACAGGCATGAGCCACCGCACCCAGCCATGATGTGGTTTCTTAACCTAGCACTACTGGCATCTTAGACTGGAGAATTCTTTGTTGTGGAGAGCTGTCCTGATGTTGTAGGATGTTTAGCAGCATTCCTGACCTCTACTCACAAATGCCACCAGCCCACCTTCAGGTGTGATAACCAAAAATGTCTCCAGGCATTGCCAAGTAACAATCTCAGTTGACAACCATTGACCTACAAGAAGTATTGTTTGGCCCTCCCAATGCTTAATCAGGTGGTGTTTTAATGTTTCCTAATTAGTTGACAAGATCGAACACTTGAAATATTTCACACTGAAACCTTAATTTCTTCTCTCTCTTGGGTTATCAAAAGATAAGGAATCTCCAGGCTTGCATTCCACTGCTGTATAAATTGGCTAGACACAAATCCTAGCCCCACCTAGAAAGGGCATGCATCCTCTCATTTCCTACCGTCCACACCATTCCCTATTGTCTCACCACAACTGTGTCCACTGCCACTCACCACTCAGCTGATGTTGTCCTTTTCATTTTGCACCTGCCTGATTCACTCATGTACAGACCATCTCTGGCCCCTATAAAATTTGAATTTGCAGCATCACTCTAAAAGCAAAGGACCTAGAAATGTCTGCTATAAACAAAATATAGACGTTTTAGCAAATAAAATACAAAGAGCAGTAATGGGAATTATCTAAAGTTAACATTCAAAATACTCATTATGGTCTCACAGAGGCCCAGGATAGCTGCCCAGGATCTGATTTCTTGGGTGAAAATGAGCACCATGCTTTCACTGATGGTTCAACTCTTTGGTTTGTATCCATTGTGGCAATGCCACAAAGACTCACCTGCAACCAATACAATTATAATTAAAAATCTGTTGCCATCTGATAATTTATAAGGATCATTCATCATGCAACAAAGTCCACAGCAGTTCTGTAGCCACTAATGCACCATATTGATTGGCCATTACTGAACAAGCTAAGGAGATTAAATGACTCCTCCATTCGTTTTTCAAAATCTTATTTTAAATGTCTCAGCTATAATATTCTACCAAATACCAGGGTGAAAAAAATCAATGAGATTAGAAATCTTCCTGCTACACTTAAGGGGCCATGTTATTCCTTGCTGCATAATGAATGGAATGAAAATAATCACTAGCTGCCTCCACAGTGCACACCTTCCTCCAAATACATAGAGTGGACTCTGTTGCAGGAGGGAAAAAAAGGAGACAGAGAAGAAGGACGAAAGAAACGGAGAAGAAAAAGGGAGGAGAGAGAAAAGGGAGGAAGAAAAAAGAAAAGGAAAAAAGGAAGAAAGGAAGAGGGGGGAAGGAAAACAAAAGAGGCTGGTTGTGTGAATGCAACAACATACAGCAAGTCTTTGATGTGTAGCCTGAGTAAAGACTGCAGAGATGCAGAAAAGGAGAAAACCCCAACACGCTGTAGCAAGACATGAAAACATTCATGTGGCAAGACACACTGTAAAACTTCACTCTCTTTTGGGGGAGGAAATTGGAAATCTATAGATCTCTTCTTGGAGATAGAGCCAGCTGTCCTGAATGATTCAGTCAGACCCATTTTCTTTCAAACCAAGTCTCAGCGATTTAGGGCCTTTTATAACAAAAGGCGGCCCAGGACAGAAGCAAATACTCCTTGAGCACGGTAGCACCAGAGATGTTAATTACCAAAGGAGAAGGGTCAATGCCATCTTAATAGTAGAACCTGCTTTCATTCTGCGAGATAACTTTATCTGTAGAAGACAAACAATACGTGTCTTCTACACGTACATTATACCCAGAAGTATAATGATCCAGAAGGAGTATAATGATCCAGAAGGAGTGAGGTGGTGCCATAACTGGTAGGGAGATTTACTTGGAACAGAAACTCTCACAGTCTTACCCCAAATCATGGGGCCAGAGACTGTTCCATTCCTCTTAAGAAGACGACAAAAGCTCCATCAGCATCTGCTCCAGCCCAAGGGCAGTGTTTTTGAGCTGGAAAAAGGAACAGGACTGGCCTCTGCCCTAGCCCAGCTCACTCTTAGGCGGTATAGTGAGGAGGTGGGTGGGTTATGGATATCGGCTCCCGGGTCCCAGTCCTGCATCCTGCCCTGCTCTGCTTTCAATTCTTGTGCAGCCTTTCAGAACAAGAATCGCTTCAACACACATCCAACTTCACGCTCAGGGAAACAGGTGTGGGTGGAGTCCAGGTGGGGAAAATTCCCACCGCCTGATGAACTGATGAGCCTCTAGCCAAGGCAAGGCGAGGGGATGGAGGGAGCTGTGGCCAAAAAGACAGAGGAGACGTCAACTCTTGCCTGTGGATCACCAGGCAAGACAAGAACAGATGGATGCACGCTGGCCTACCTCAGCTTCTCTTCTGTCTCTCTCTAACAAAACAGAAGAAGAATAACCCTCTTCTGGGGACACAAATGGGATTTCCTGGACTGCTGGGTCACACCTATAATGGTATCTAATCAAAATTCCTTTATGGCAAGGTATAGTGAGTTGCTGCTTTAGAAAGCTGCACTTGGTAAATGCATCCCAATGAATGAGATGGATATTCTGTGCATTCACGTTCATTCCTCAGAGGCCTGGTCCCCATGGACTGCACCAACTGGGCTTCCTCATCCTCTGGCTTCTGGCTGAGTTCAGGCAGTGGGAGGCGCTGGCAGGAAATATGAGGTCTTCTACAGATGAAGTCATCTAGCAAAATGCAAGCAGGTTCTACTATTAAGATGGCATTGACCCTTCTCCATTGGTAATTAACATCTCTGGCACTACTGTGCTCGAGGAGTACCTACTTTTCTCCTGGGCCTTCTTTCATTCTAAAGAACCCTAAAAATAATGAGCCTTTGTCTTAATGATCATATCTCCTTGTTAGTTGCTGTTGTGGCCGAAACCATGTTCTTCAGTGTATGGCTGCAGCTCCCATGGACTGGCCCCTCTCCTAATGTGGCCTCTCTCTTCTGGCCTCAGTATCCCATTCTCTTTCCCACCTTTTTCAGTCAAATGGTAGTGACTATTGACCACTCCTGCTACCCTGGGGTCAGGTTCCTTAACACTGACCATATCGTTGTAATCAGCCCCATCATCAAAATCTCTTCAATCACCCCTTGGAAGATGTTGTCCATTTCTTTCTAGGATTTTGACTCAAACAAAAGTGCAGAATAATTTTGTGACTTTCATGGTTCAAGACTTGAAGATAGTCAGGTCTCTATATCTTAAGAAACCTGTCTAAAATTCATTCAACAAACATTCATGCTTTTAGTAGTTATTATGGCCCAGGTACTGTTGCTGGGCCCTATAATGCACCTGTTGCATTATCCATTTAAATGGATAATGCAAGGTATTTGCCTGAAGGTGGTCATTGTCTATGCTGCAAATATTATTCTTCTCTCATGATACACATCCATGTCTATCTGACTAGCTGTGGAAATTTTAATCATTCAGGTGTAAGTATCTTTAATATTCTTGCACAAACTAGTTCTACTGATTGAAACCTAATCATTGATGACTGAAGAAAATATTCCAAGGCTTTCAAGGATGCCACATACCCAACATTACAAAGCACAGATTAAAACATGAATAGAACAGTACATTATTTTCTGGTTTGTGCTATACATTCTTTTGGTACCTATTGAAAAAAAAATCACTTCAAAACCAATCCAGTTCCTTAAAAATTAGTAGGGTAATTCTATGATAAGATGATATAGAGCTCACACTGATAAAGTAAGTTGATGGTGCAAGAATGTATTTATACTTTCCGGCCACTTTCTGTTATCTCAAGGATTTCCTGTACACACTATTCAGGTGACCTCAGGCCTTTGAATTTAATTATGACATTAAAGATGTAATTTTAGCATTTTAGGGCCCTGAATTATGTCCAACAGAAGGCTTTATGGAGAGCTTTGGGGAAATTATGATTTGTGTCATTTCAGCCAAAATGCCATCTCCTGAGGAATTTCTACATTGACTTTGATGTCAAGTGTTCCCCATGTGGCATGGCACAAATTCTTGAAATTCTGACAGATGTTACTTCATAGCCCATGAACAAATACATACAGGGCAAATGTAGCAGGATACCATTTTTGAAACATCAAGAGATCTCTTCTCTTAATGGCCATAAGCCTTTGGCACCTTCAGCCTCAATTTTCCAGTGGGAAATAACTTTCCTTGACTTCTCTCTTAGTTTTCTCATCTGTCAACTATGGGTATTAACAGAGACTGCTTCCTAGGATTGTTTCATTGGACGTGTTAATCTATGAAAATTAGTGCCTGACACATTGTTTATTAGTCTTCAATATGTAGAAGCTATTATTATAGAACAATAAAGAAAAATGCATTCCTTAACCACCTGCTACTCATGAGAAAAAGAGGAGTAGCAGGAAAATAACAGGGTCTTGAGAGACTCTGAAAGAATCAATAGTATACTGAAGAATATGAATAAGTCAGTGCTCAACCACAGCAACTGTGAAGAATGTTCTCTCCCTGGATGGCAAGAAGATAAAAGGGAAGAAGTGACCTCACTGCAAACTCATACGTTCTGCAAGATGGCATCCCTACAATCAGACCACTGTGGCAATTAGGACTGGGATTTTTGAAAAGGTCACTGAATTGGAAATTGGGAAATAAGACTTTAAGTCCTATCTGTGCGACTTTAAATGAGTGATGCTAGTCTTGGGGGCTTAAGTAGCTTATTTACAAAATGAGGACAGTCTTCAAGGTGCCATTTTAGCTTTGAATGTCTGCGATGTTGATACACCAACTAGGGAGTCTTGAAGTTTCATCCTTAAGAGAAAATGGCAAATAATCACTGCTGACCTGAGAGACTTTTTAGGGAAAGCTGAATCTAGGTCCATGATTGGGGTCATAACTTATTCCCAAACTAACAACATCTACATCTTTAGCATACCACAAGGTATGCAAAATAATGGCCCCAAGTAAGAGAATGTTAAGTGATTTGTTGGTGTGCTCTCCTCACAAAGGTTTAGTGTACTGTGTCAGAGACTTCAGAATGGCTTCCAATGAAACGAGTTTTAAGGTTCAAATACTAAACAGTTCTAACATTAGCCATCTGTGTTAGTCCATTTTGCACTGCCATAAAGGAATAGCTGAGACTGAGTAATTTATAAAGAAAAGAGGTTTATTTGGCACACAGTTCTGCCAGCTGTGCAAGTATGGTACCAGCATCTGCTCAGCTTCTGGTGAGGCCTCAGGAAGCTCTTCCTCATGGTGGAAGGTGAAGAGGGAGCCAACATGTCACATGGTGAGAGAGGGAGCAAGAGAGAGAAGAAGAGGTCCCAGACTCTTTTTGACAGTCAGATCTCATGGTAACTCATTAACAAGCCAAGCCATTCATGAGGGATCCACCTCCATGATCTAAACGTCTCCCATCAGATCCCACCTCCCACATTGGAGGTCACATTTCAACATGAGATTAAAGTACACACATTCAAACCATATCACCATCTGAAAAAAGTAGGTAACACAGAAAACATTTTCCTTCTGGGTCCTTAAACAATTAAGTTTTGCTCCAGGAGTAGCTGCAGAAAATTTGATACTCACAACACAAACACTGTGTACCATGAGTCTACGTCCCTGGTGTGCCTGTGAGCTTTACCCCTCAGAACTCCTTAAAACAAATTGCTGTCTGCATGCACCTGAGATAGACCCAGTGTCTTCCAGCTCTGTGGCTCTGTTGATTGGCTCCATCCCTGTGATTAAAACTGATGAAAGTCCAGGTCTTTGAAGCACTGGAATGCAAGAATTTCATCAATTTCAATTGCCTTCTGGCTTCTAGAATAAGAACCCACTGGGAAGCCAGACCAAGTAATCTGACCTGGTAAAATTGAGAAAATGAACACATTGCTTTTGTCTAAATTGACTGAAGATCCACTGGGGGAATCACACTGTGTAAGGGTCTCAGGGAAAGTTTTTAGAAAGCACATCCCAATCCACAGGGAAGAATCTGCCCTCATGGCCTGGGCCTTCCATCCCAACCTCCTCTGCCCTCCTGGGTTCAGAAATCTGCTCTCTACATCTTCCAAAGTCGTCCCATGTCCACACAGCCTCTGTAGTACTGGAAAATTCCCAACTTGTTCCTAATGATTGTGGCAAATGGAATAATACTTCCCTGATATATTTGGCCGTGTCTCCATCCACTTTTCATCTTGAATTGCAGTTCCCATACTCCCCACGTGCTGTGGGAGGGACCCAATGGGAGATAATTTAATCATAGTGGCAGTTACCCCCATGCTGCTGTTCGCACGATAGTAAGTGAGTTCACAGGAGATCTGATGGTTTTATAAGGGGCTTTTCCCCCTTTTACTCAGCACTTCTCCTTCCCGCCACCATGTGAAGAAGAACGTGTTTGCTTCCCCTTCTGCCATGGTTGTAAGTTTCCTGAGGCCTCCCCAGCCATGCTGAACTGAGTCAATTAAACCTCTTTCCTTTATAAATTTGCCAGTTTCAGGTAGGTCTTTATTAGCAGCATGAGAATGGACTAATGCATCCCCCTACAACCAAAAAAATATGCTCGTGCCCTAATCCTTGAAACCTGTGAACATGTTAGCTTACATGGTGAGAGGGACTCTGCAGGTATGATTAAGTTAGGGATCTTGAGATGAGAGATTATCCTGAATTATCAGGGTAGGCTCAAATCACCGAGGCCCCTACAGGAGGGAGACAACATGATGAAAGAGGGGACATCATAATGATGAAGGCAGAGCTTGGAACAGGAGCAGCCTCTAGAAGCTGAAAACAGCAGGGAAACAGATTTTCCCCTTGAGCTTCCAGAAGACACACAGCTCTGCCTATACTTCCACTTTAGCTCAGTGAGATGTCAGAGACAAAAAAGCGTGTGCTGTTTCAAGTCACTCAATTTGTGGCATTTTGTTACAGCAGCAGTAGGGAACCTATACAGCTATCTACAGTGTTGCCTCCCTGCTCAGGATGGGGACTGGGTGTGGATTCTGTCTGAGATGCCCACTAACTGTGTGGATAAGTGACCTCAATTTCCACACCTGTAAAATAGGGTGACAGCAGCTCCTGTCTCATGCATTATTTTAATGGCTATTATCCTTAAAACAGTATGCAGCTCATTTCAAGAATTACATAAATGTTAGCTATTACTGTGATATTTAATATCAATGTTCAACTGCTTACTATTGCAAATGTTACAATGTTGAGATCGCTCCAAGGATGTACTTTCCTCAACTCTGTACCAAAGGTATTATTGTTATAGTTTCCACTCCAGAATCTCATGTGCCCCAAAGATTCCTGTTTAGTTATTAAAAGTGGGTGTGGGAAGGAGATTTCATATTGCCCCAGCTGGAGCAGACAGTCTGAAATGGAGCCTTTGACAAACATATGCCTGTAGGTAATTATAAAAAGTAGTGCTGCATACAGATAGTATATATTTTGCAGCCCTGCCAATATCACAGTGTCATCAAGCTCTCCAGGCTTCTAGCAGATACAGGGCTGGGACTAGGGTGAGACTGAGCTGCTTAGGCCTCTAAATTTAAGGAGCGCACTCTCAGGCACACACCCTGGACTGAGTAAACTTGAGAGTGAGCACTTCCCTAAATTTTGTGTCCAGGTACCTCACTAGATTAATACACCCTAATCTAGGTCCTGAGCAAACGCAAATGAGTAGAAAAGGCCTCAACTGGAGATTCATAAAGTCTGCTAGGGGAAAGCATGCAATGACACAAAGGCAAGGAAATTATTAATATATAATCCTACTGATATGGTTGGGCTCTGTGTCCCCACCCAAATCTCATCTTGAATTACAATCCCCATAATCCCCACATGTCAAGGGAGAGACCAGGTGGGAGGTGATTGGATCATGGGGCGGTTTCCCCCATGCTGTTCTCGTGATAGTGAGTGAATTCTCATGAGATCTGATGGTTTTATTGAGTGTTTGACTGTTCCTCCTACACACATGCTCTCTCGCTGTCCTGCTACCATGTAAGACATGCCTGCTTTCACTTCTGCCATGATGGTAAGTTTCCTGAGGCCTGCCCAGCTGTGTGGAACTGTGAGTCAATTAAATCTCTTTCCTTTAAAAATTACCCAGTCTTGGATACTTCTTTATATCTATTTGAAAAAGAACTAATACCCCTATATAACATCCCTTCAAAACCAATTCTTAGAGACTGGCTGGAAGTGCTGGGCAGGCAATGTTCTACTTCATAGTATTTGCTCATTTTTAGAATATTTGCTTGTGGCAGTGACTCTTCCAAAGTCAACACCCGCAAATGCGGATGTGGTCATTGTTATAAAACCCCAAGTCCATAGATCAGAGATCTGGGGGGTTGATGCCTACCAGGTCATCTGGTTATATCCACCTTCTCATGACCAGGCCTCCAGACTGCCCTTTCACAACAGCCATCCCCCAAATGTCCTCTAACCTGTGAGTGCACGGATTCAACCCCCCTCTATCTCTTACTAATCTCTCCCTCCTTCACTTCTTTCATTTCAAGATGGAACTCATAACGGTATAACCCATTTCACAGGGCCATTAACACTAAACAGTTACCATCTGGGTCTGATGCTTAGGACTGTCTAGAGTCAGTTACTTGTATCACCATAAAGAATATCACCTGTTGTGTTCCTGCCTGGAGGTAACTCTGGAACAGAGCACCAGGTACATTTAACATGATATTTGCTAAATACACAAAACAAAAAGCAAATAAATAAATGGAGGAACCAACTTGCAAAGAGTAAAAATGATGTAAACTATTCGCCTGCGTAGAGTGAAGGTCTCTGATTCTGTGTGGATCCCATAAACCAGTCTTCCCCACATGCAAACAGAGCCACCCCAGCCCTTCGGAAGGAGAATCCTGGAGAAACTCTTTGGTGACTCAGGCACAGGTCTGGGGAGGTCTCTTAGAAGGCTGACATTCATCCAGGGACCTGGACCATGAGAGAGATCCAGAAGGAGGAATGAGCTTTCCCAAACAACATTGACGAATGAATGATCAAAAGCCAATGAATCCACTTTGCAGGTAGAGAAGCAACACTTACAAAAGCCTTGGTGAAACAAAAGGTTTGAACGATGCAATGAGAGAGAGCCAGTGCAAAGGGAGCACAGTAAGAGAATTGGCAGAGGGTCAAGGTGGGCAGTTCCAGGGTGTACAAGACCTGACAGGTAAAGAGTCTGTGTCTCATCTTTACTGCAATGAAAAGTTATCCAGGGATGTTAAACTAAAGAGTGATGTGGTTTCATTTGCATTTGAGATGACTCTTCCTGCTGTGAGAGGAACGGCTTGTAAGGTAGAATTGGGAGGACCAATTAGGAGGCTGATGAGAAAGAAGACAGCATCCTGGACCAGGGTCATGAAATTAGGAGACGGGAGGATATCATCAGATTTAAAATACATTAAAGGTGAGCTCAGGACTTGAAAAGCATTGTCAGGCGTGGGGGTGGCCAGTGGGTTGGAATGCTTTGTAGCACTGAACAAAGCTTGTTCTATTTTTCTCTCTCTCAGCAAAGAAATGCTATTTTTTATACACATAAGCCATATTTGGTGAGAGCAAAGGGATTTCATCATTTATGTAAACCTTTATCGAGGACCTCCCAAGACTCAGGTTTTTGGTGATAAGGGTAAAACCTTTTATACCCTACAGAAGCGACAGTGTCACGGAAGAGACACTCCTAAGGAAGGTTTTCTCTGCACTCCTGCCGTCTCCCCTCCTGCATCTACCTTTCCCAGCCTCCCCGACTCAGCAGACAGCAACTCTATCCGTGCAACTTGCTCAGCGACGGTCATTCTCTCTTCTCTTTGTCTCAGGCTCCTCGTCCAATTTATCACCCAATCCTATCGGCTCCACATTCACCACGTCTGCCCACCTGCCCTGCTACAACTTCTCTGGCCCCGTCTCTCATCTGGGTGCCTTGCTCCTGCCCATTCATCCGACAGTCCCTTCTCTGCACAGCAGCCAGAGTGAATCGTTAAGAGGTCAATCAGTTCGTGGAGCCCAGGGCGCTCCAGTTCCTTGAGAGTAAAAGCCAAGGTCCTCATAACCGCCCACAAGGCCCTGAGCCCATCCGGTTCCCGTCGCTTGTCCAATAGCTCTCCTTCTCCCTCCTCCCTCTCCTTCTTACTCCTCCTTCCAGCCACCCTGTCCTCTTCACAGTGACCCGGGCGGGGCAGCTGCCAGCCCAGCTTGGACCTTTCCATCCGCCTCAAGTTGACTTTTCTTTGATGTCCACATAGCTCATTCTAAAGTCTCCTTCAGGACATTGCCCAATTGGTAGTTTCTCACTTTTACACATTTGAAAGCTCCACACACACACTCAGACACACACACATTCTCACACACACAGACACACACACTCTCAGTCACCCTCTCACACACATTCAGACACACACACTCTCAGATACCCTCTCACACACACTCAGACACACACACACTCTCACACATTCAGACACACACACTCTCAGACACCCTCTCACACACTTTCAGACACACACACACACGCGCTCACATGCACACTTGACATACAGACACACACAACACAGACACACACAGTCAGATACATACACCAGACACAGACACACACATTCAGACACACACAGACATGCACTCAGACACACTCAACACACACTCAGACATACACACAGACACACACACACTTGACACACACACATCCAGACACACACACACTCAACACATTCACACACTCGACACAGACACATTTGATACACACACTTGACACACACTCGACACACATTCAGACACACACAGACACACACACACACGACACACACACACATTCAGACACACACACAGCTGAACTCATCTCCCTGCTTTGTTCTTCTTTCTAGCACTCATCACCGCGGACAGGCGACGCGTATTTGCTTATTTATTTGGGCACTGTCTGTTCCCCCTCATTAGGATGCCGTGTCCATGCAGGCAAGACCCTGTTTTCTGTGCATTTGCAACAGGGCTTGGTGCATGGTACCTGCTTGATAAGTATGAGCATTGCTCAGATGCATGGATGACTCTTTAGACAGTGGTAAGCACTGCAATGGAGGTTTGCAGAACAACCTTGGCATAGAAGCAACAATGGCCATCTCTGCCTGCTGGAATTAGAGAATGATACAAAAAGGCATTTGAGTCTGAAGAATGAATTAGGATTTTCCAGGTGCATTGCAGAAAGAAAGATTCTGGGGGAGGAAAAGAGGGAGTCAAAAGCATGAAGATACCGACTGGCTTTGATCGACTGTCCTAGCAATTTGGACGGAGAATGAGACTGAGGAGGGAGGTTTTTCATTGTGGTGGTAAACCAAATGGGCTTTGAGGACACACCAGACAGGGAGGATGTGAGAGAGGGAGCACTTCATGTTTTTGAGCTTGTCTGGGCACATGTGATGTTCTTAAATATTAACAGGGAGAAAGGGTCCAAGGAAGAGAAGCAGGGCTCATAGAAAAATACAAGTTCATCTTGAGTTTAAAGTATCTGGGCACTATTTCAACGAGGAGGTTCAATATATAGCTGGAAAGAAAGTTCTGGAACGAAGAGGAATGGGTGGATCCCGATGGAGGAAAAACAAAGTAAGAAGAGAAGAAAAACTAGGGCTCCCAGAGCAACAAAAACCCACACGTGCTAAGCCAGTGGGCTGCAGATATGTGTGATTTGACAAGCATCTTCTCCTTCAGGGTTGCTCAAAATTTTGGATGTGAATAGGTGTTTATCCAAGAAAGTAAGAAATAAAAGTGAGTCCTTCACCACAGAGGGTTTGAGAAACAAGGCTCATGTTCACTGTACTCCTCACCAAACCCCTTACTTTTTGTACCTGCACCTCCAAACACTGAGGACATCTGCCTGGACCATTCGTTCATTTGTGTTCAGGACCTCTGAGCTAAAGAAACAACTGATGAGAAGAGGCTAATTAAGGAGACAGATGAGGAGTGATCACACAGGAGAGATCAGCAGAGAAGAAGGGTGGCAAAGGGATGCTGCTGCGCTCCATCCACAGTTCTTAAGTTGCTATGATTGGTTTGTAACTGGTATCATGGTTATTGATTGTATTTCTAAGAATGTTCACACTTAGATCGATGCTAATTGACTCTGCATACATGCACACTGACACACTGCATCAGAGTCAAAGTCCAGCTATAAATGTAGCCTCAGATAGAACGTGGCAGAGCCAGAGCTCATAGCACAGCTCTAGAGCCTCCTCGCTGAACTACGATTGCCTCTCTGTAGCTGTGGAGGCCACACACACACGTGCACAGAGGCAACCTTCAGAGAAGTAAAACTTTCATGAACTGTCATTAATCAGAGGTGTCTCTTCAGGTGAGGCAACAGCTTAATTTTTAGCATGTTTTGTTTACAAATGAAGTGAAAAGAATCTTTTTTTTTTTTTTTTTGAGTCTCACTCTGTCACCCAGGCTCAAGTGCAGTGGCACGATCTCAGCTCACTGCAACCTCCACCTCCCACGTTCAAGCAATTCTCCTGCCTCAGCCTCCCAAGTAGCTGGGAATAGAGGTATGAGCCACCATGCCCCACTAATTTTTTTTTGTGTGTACTTTTAGTAGAGATGGTATTTCACCACGTTGGTCAGGCTGATCTCAAACTCCTGACCTCAAATGATCTGCCCGCCTCGGCCTCCCAAAGTGCTGGGATTACAGGCATGAGCCACCGCGCCTAGCCTAGAATCTCTCTCTTAATGGGTGAAACTTCCTTCAAGAAAGACACAGAGTATGTAGACCTGGCTCACGGTACTTGTACATTCTTGAGAATTGTCCATGTACCATTCTGTCATCTGCCAAGAAAGTCAGTTAGTGCATCTTTTCCAGTCTACATGCCTTTTAATCCTTTTCCCTTCCTGTGGCAGTGGTTAGCAAAGCCAGTGAATGTTGAAGGGAGTGGGAGAAGATGCATCCCATCCCCATTCCCTCTCCTGGATAGAAAGCATTCAGTCCGTCTCTACTGACGATGATGCCTGTGGCTTGTCAGAGGATGCCCTTTATTTTTTTATTTATTTATTTTGAGATGGAGTCTCGCTTTGTCACCCAGCCTGGAGTGCAGTGGTGCGATCTCGGCTCCCTGCATGCTCCACCTCCCAGGTTCACGTCATTCTCCTGCCTCAGCCTCCCAGATAGCTGGGATTACAGGCACCCGCCACCACGCCTGGCTAATTTTTGTATTTTTAGTAGAGACTGGGTTTCACTGTGTTAGCCAGGATGGTCTCGATCTCCTGACCTCATGATCTGGCCTGCCTCGGCCTCCCAAAGTGCTGGGATTACAGGCGTGAGCTACCGCGCCCAGCCAGATGCCCTTTATTATATGGAGAAAGTTATTTTCTAATCCTAGTGTTCTGAGAATTTTCATCATAAATGGTGTTGGTTCTGCATCTACTTATGGTTTGACCTCTCTATTCCATTAATATGGTGAAAGACTATGATGGACCAACATTGCAGAATTACAGTATTTCCAAATAACAGGCCTATTCGTAAGTGGTAAAGAATGGAACTCAGAGGCCACAAGGTCCTGTGTCATGGTTATGGAATTGTCTTACTGGTTGACTTTTAAAAGCCAAGAGTTTCACTCCCTACCAGAGGGTGGGAGGGGAGGAGCAGGGAAAGCTGGGAAGGGGTTGGTCAGCGGGTACAAAGGTATAGTACTAGAGGAGGCATCAGTTCTGCTGTGCTGCGCCATAGTAGGGTGACTAGCACTCACAATAATGTATATTTTGAAGTAGCTAGAAGAGAGGTTTTTGGATGTTTGCCTCACCAAAAAAAAAATAAATGTTTAAGCCAATGAAAATGATCATCACACAATGTATACATGTATCAAAACATCATGTTGTACCCCATAAATATGTACAATTACTATGTGTCAATCATACTTTAACAAAAAAGCCAAAAGTATCACATTTAAAATCTTTGATTTCTGGTTTCTGAAAATTCAGAAGGTTTGGCAGTGTTGGGCCCACATTTCCTCATTGTGGACATAATTCCTGCTGCCCTCTGGAGATGAGAGTGTTCCTGTATTAATCCATTTTCACAATGCTATAAAGACATAACTGAGACCTGGTAATTTACAGAGAAAAGAGGTTTAATTGGCTCACAGTTCCTCAGGCTCTACAGGAATCATGACTGGGGGAGCCTCAGGAAACTTACAATCATGGTGGGAGGCAAAGGAGGAGTAAGCTAGTCTTAACCATGGCAGAGCAGGAGAGAGCGAGCGAGTGGGCACATGACGCACTTTGAAACCATCAGTTGTCTGTGAGAACTCACTCGCTATTAAGAGAACAGCAAGGGGTAAATCCACCCTGTGATCTAATCACCTCCCACCATGTCCCTCCCCTGACATGGGGGGATTACAATTTGTGATGAGATTTGGGTGGGGACACACAGCCAAACCATCAGTCCCCACAGCATTTCCTGTGTCGCCCCCACCAGCCAGCCTCCAGCTCCCTGCATCCACCAGAGTCCCAGAAAGCACTGACTCAGGACCCTGCCCTTAAGTTGTTTGTTAAAACATAAAGATAACTTTGGAAGGCATTTGCTTTGGGGCTCCCCAGCCAAGGTGACAGATGTTTTCATTATCACTCTGTGATAAACTGCAAAGAAGTGCATTTTTTTGGTGCATTAAACATGGATTGTCCAACAAAGCCATGTCTGCATAACAAACTAGGATTTGCAACTTCGCTACAAACACCAGGATGACTTTGTCTCCTGTTAAAGTGGAATCCTAGGAGAGTTTAAAGGCATTTCTAAATAGCGCTTTTGGAAATAAAGCTGATATTAGTACAATCTCACTCCTTGTCCCTGCACTATCCTCCCTTAATACTTTCTCTTCCTTGAGATCTTAATTAAAACTAATCTCATCAGGGACTCTAATTCATACAACATTAATCTTGTATAATGTGTCATCAAACTTCAACTGTTATTTGCTTAACAAAATCCCAATTCTTTAAAATGATAATGAGAGAAATATCAATTTGCCAACACACCATCCCCTCATACTACTGGGAAGATTTTTTATGGATCATAACCCCAGCCATTCAGACAGGGAGATAAATCTATATAACTTCAATATTTAATAAAGAAATACCAAAAAGGTGTGAAAATGTTGCTATATTTTAAGTGCAATGTTTACAATTTCACACACACATGCGCACACACACACACCCCCCTCAATGCATGTATAGCATTATCGGAATATAACTGAAAACATACAAATGTAAAAAACTCCAAGAGTGTGAGACTTAAGTCAAATGTCTCTTTGTGAATACTATTCCTCTCTTTAACTCAGATTAAAGGCCCTGATTTTGTCAACATCTCTATGCAGGAATTTCTAAAGAAAGCCAGCAAATTAAATGTTCATGCCTCAAAACAGTGTAGAATAAGTCATAAGACCTTTATGTCCACATGAGCTCTGTCAAAGCATCCTTCCATGAGATTTGGAAATTTGAAACCTGTCTTATATTTCATCCAGAGGGTTTTACCTGATAATCTATGCTTCGATTAGGACTGTCTAGCCGCATGCAAGAGCAGCAGTGCTGGCCAAAGCTATGCCATTTAGGGAGGAAGTTTCACCTATGCTATGGACAATGGGCCCTGAAACAAAACTAAACTTGCGGGAAAGGACAGGGCCCTGTGCAGCTTTGGGGATCCAGGTGTAAGAACCAGGAAGGATCATCTCCAAGATGTCACAGTTGTGATACATAAGCTTTTGTCATGGCTGGTGGTTACATGTCATTCCACTGGGGACTGGCTCAGATGGGACCACTTACTACTTGGCGAGGAGGAAGGAGGTATCCTAATTGACATTTCCACCAAAACTTCATCCAAAGGAGGAAGGGTGGTCCCCCCAAAGCAACTTTGGTGAGAAGCTATTAGAAGAAAAGGGAGTGGATGTTGGACAGGCAAAAGACACAGATGTCCTCTGCCCTGTGCATACGGATTTTAGTACAGTTTCATGCCCTTGTTATATGTGACTTTCAAGACCAAAAGTCATGGCTAACAGGACAAGTAAAGTGAAACATTATCTCTCACAAAGCTGCAGATGGATGTTTAAACTTAGGCTTCTCTGTAAACCCGGGTTTACTAGAACCACGTCTGTTGGTGCAGCTATCCTGGGATTTAGGGATGTGCTCAGCATTTATATCAGAACCTCCTGGAGTGAAGGCCTCATGGGCGATATTCTTCATCATTGTCCAAAAAGTGTACAAAGGGTTGCAATATTGAAAAATTCACAAATGCAATGCAATGTGGAGAGGCTTTAAAGCCAACGGCTCTTGCATTATTCAGATCTAAAAGAAATCAGAAAGTATCTTTTTCTTGAAACTTAATCTAATTGATTAAAGCAAGAATTGTTTTGTACGAGTCTTCCTAACGTTCTCCAAATCACAAAAAGATTCCAGGAAAAACGCTGCAGCCCCAATCCTGGACTTTCACAAATCAGTGAGCACACTTATTCAAACAATTTAAAATAATTTAAAATGCTTTTCTTATCCCCTAAAAATAAGGGTAGACTGACAACTTAATTGAAAAAAGACATACACACTCATACACAATCACACGATATTCAGCAAGTACTGGAAATGAAACACTTAAAATCCGTCAATCTCAACAAAAGGAAATTAAAATGGTACATTTTTTGCGTGTTTCCTATTATGCAAGACACATTTGCCACCTGATGACTCTACAGGACAGGAATCTCTATGCATGCAGGGCACCCTGCTAACCGTGCTGGGAAAATATTTTCAAGTATTACTTCATTTTTCCCCCTATAATTCTTTCTCATCTTTGTCATAACCTTTCGCTTCATTCCTTTTCCTGATGTCTTCCCCTATTATTCCTCCACTAGAGCCTGATAACCTCCAGCCGTCAAATTCCCCTTTATGTTCTAGCATAGGTGTGAAGAATAAACAGCAACTTTGGCTTTTGAGTTTTAAACACCAAGGTCCATCCAGCCCTATGCAATAGATTTCAGAGAATACAGGCATTATCCCAAGTCTTAGAGATTAATTCTCTGGTTTGAAGAAGAAGAAGAGATATGAAGAAAAGAGCGGGAAAAGTAGGTGCTGGCAACAGCTTCTGAGAAGGATTCTTCACCCCGCCTGACCTTAAAGCTCCCTCCAAGGCAAGTTGGACAGAGAAGAAACAGAATCCCTATCAGATATCCAGGTCCAAAGCAGAAAGAATATATGCCATAAATTCATATGCAGAATCTTAGGCATCAAAAGTGATCAGAGTTCCCCCAGTCCAGCATAGCAAGACAATCAGAGAGTTGACATGTCTGGATGCTAAGTCTGGAACTTTGAGAAGCTAAGGCAACAACACTCAGAATCTCATGACCCCAAGGAAGAACAGGAGAGCTGTTACCAAAAGAGTTCATGCTCTGAAAGAATCCAGGTTGTGACTGATAGAATGAGGTCTGGACCACACAGCCAGGGACCAGACAAGAAGATGGGGTTCTTGGATGATGTCAACATGGAAAGGTTAGTCATGGCTGAGATCAGGCGGGACACAGTAGAGGGCAGAGGAGAAGACACCTTCCCTTGACCTGAAATTTAGACTCATTTACAGAGAAAAAGGGATGGCCATAAAATTCTAAAGATTAAGTTTAAAACCAAAGTGCTTTTTACTTAAGGAGCCTGAAAAATCACATTCATTACATTAAGGCAGTTAAAAGAAAGACCAAAGAGACAGCGATTTTGCCTTTGATACCACACAGTCTAGACAAAGACTCAGAGACTAAAATAGAAAAACATTTCAACTTACACTTACATAGGGACTGGAGGCATCTTGTGTTATCTTTAGAAAGTCAAGCAGAAATGGGTTTGGAAAAGGCCACCACGTTTGTCACCACTACCACACGGTGACATCTAGGCATTTTCCTATAGCAATAATATAAAAAAATTTTCCAAAACTTGGAATCAAAGCAGTTGGTAACTCCTGTCCTTTCAATGTTATTGTTTCTTAGGCTCCCCCAAGGATTATTTCATTATCTAGGAGAAAGGCACCTGTGTTTGACTTTGCTATTTGCCACTGGATTGGAGTTCACACACAGTGAAGCCACATGCTAACTTGTAACTATGGCTTTTTGCCCAAATGGACATTAACTAGTGTTGCAGCTAATTTAGCAAGATCAGTATCATATTCCTTTTCCAAATTGCTTATAAGTATCTACCTCTCCAAAGGTTTTTTGAGCCAGTCTTACCATCTCTCTGGTTCTCTCATTAATGAATAAGGTGCATAAAATCTTTAACACATACTGATATTCTATTTTTACGAAAAGTGTGCTATTACACTTTCGAGTAGTATGCTTTGACACTACAAGGGGGATAGGTTGCTGGATTAGTGCATTATATGGACAGCAGCTGGAATGGCTGCCCTTAGACTATCAGAGGTGATCTGGGTCCTGGGAGTGGGAGCCCCCTGTGACCCGATCGCTCATCAGGGTCTGGTGGTTTCAGAGGCAAACAAAGCAAATTGGTGCCACCAAAACTCATAGCTGGTCTCTAGGCACTAGTTATCTTTTTATGCCCCTTTTGTCTATTATTAGGTGAAGAAAGAAAGTAGACTGTTTCTCTAGCACCCTGTCATTAGTTTATTAATTTGAATCTGGAAAGATAGGGAAGAGAATGGGCTAGACTTTAGAGAGCATACTCTGTTTCAGAGAAGGTAAAGCAGATGAGGAAATCTCTCTCCACCTCCACCCATTCCTGTCCCAAGCACCGGTAAAACCTACCTTTCACCAATGCCCCATCTATCGTCTTAGAGTCAAACTTTCTCACATTCTGGTCATGCCCACCCTATCTCCAACACACGTGGGGAAAATTCCCCAGTGTAGTTGAGCTCACATAGAACCCAAAAATGTCCATAATACACAAATCTGAATAAAATCAAGAACAAGTGCCCTGTTTGTCCTGTGACAGGCCTATTTCACCAGGATAATGAGGTGGACAAATGCTGTATGATTCTTTTCATAGGAGGTCTCTAAGCTGGTCAGACTCAGGGAGGCGAAGAGTAGAATAGTGGGAGCCAGGGGATAGAGGTAGTGGAAATGAGACACTGCTGTTCAACAAGTTTAACGTTTCAGCTATGCAAAATGTGTAGGTTCCGGGGGTCTTCTGCTGGAAGACATTGTGCCTAGAGTTCATAATACCATACTGTACACTTAAGAATTTATTAAGTGGGTTAAATGTCCTTACCATAATAAAGAAGAGAAAAACAAACTCTGAATCAGGCATATCCACACCATGGAATATTATTTAACTTTAAAAAGGAAGGAAATTTTGACACACACTATAACATGAATGACCCTTGGGGACACTACGCTAAGTGAAACAAGCCAGTCACGAAGGACAAATATTGTATGATTCCACTTATAAGAGATCTTTAATCAAATTTATGCAGACAGAAAGTAGCATGGCAGCTGTCAAGGGCTGGGGAAGTCGTAAACAGGGAGTTTATGTTTAAGGGGTGCAGAGCTGCAGCTTCGGAGGATGCAAGAGTTCTGGAGATGGATAAGGGTGATGGCTGCACAACGTATGTGAACATGCCAAATGCCACTGAACTGTACACTTAGAATTAGTTAAGGTGGTAAATTATGTGGGATGTATATTTTACCAGAATTAAAATTACAATTTTAAAAAGAAAAGCGAACCAATTCTCTAAAGAAGAATTCTATTGAGTTTCAGAATAATTGAAACCTAGCTTGTTCACCACCTGCCTGGCTATGCAGCACAACTGTCCATGCCGCTCCAGCATTCCGCTTTCTGCAACCCTTGCTTGCTTGCCTTCAGGCTGTGGAAGGTTGCGCCCTGATGTTCCCTTTTCTGGTGGATGTCAGAGTCTCTCTCCCTCCCCAGGTTTGTCTCCCTCCCTCTTCCTGTTAGCCTTCCCATGCCACCTTTCCAACCAATGCTATTCCTTAATAGATGCTAGGTCCTGTCATGGCAGATACTTGGGGGTTACAAACAAACAGAAAGGGAACATCATCTTTTGCAATAATTATGAAAAGGAATACAGGCTGAAGTTGGGGTCACAGGAAAAATAAGAAGAATGCTCTCCAATTTGGTTATTCATCTTTTATAACTATAAAGCATGTCTTAAAGTTTTCATATCAAAAAACAGCTTTAAATGCTGCCCCAGTTTACCAGCTCGCAGACCCTGTCATTATTTTAGAAATTACTAATGCTTGTGGGATGATGGAATTCTGCTATTAAAGAATAACCCATTATGAGATGTCTTTTTTTCCCCTCCTTAATCTCATGTATTTGCAGAGGGGTCATTGCTTAAAGGTTGCCAATTTTGTTTTTCTGACTGCGTATCTGTGGTTTCAAATACCATCTATATGCCAATTACTCAAAAATTCCTATCCTCAGCCAAACTTCTGCCATCGAGCTCCAGACCCTTGCATCTCACTGCCTACACACCAGCTCCATTTGGGCGTCTTGATAACTTCCCAAACTTCACGTGCCCAAAGCCAGCCCCATGATCTTTCCACTCCCACCTACTTCTTCTCCAGTATTTTCTTAGAAAAGGGTGGAAATCTGGACAAATCCTCATGACTTCCTCCAGAGCTGCCACCCTACAGCAGCCACCTCCAAAAGGGTTTCCTGAGGTCCTTCCTTAAAACTACTCGATACAGCCAGAGCAATGTTTTGTGTGTTTAATGCAAATATAATCATGTCTCCACTTGGCTGGAAAGCCTTCAACAGGATCCCACAGCTTAGGAAAAAATCCAAAATGTGTCCACCCAGAACCTTGCTGACCTGCCCCTCAGCTCTACCCTCTCTATGTCTGCCATACTGGCTTTATTTTTGTTTTATTTTATTTTATTTTTTTGAGACAAAGTTTCACTCTGTTGCCCAGGCTGGAGTGCAATGGCATGGTCTCGGCTCACTGCAACCTCCGCCTCCTGGGTTCAAGTGATTCTTCTGCCTCAGCCTCCCAAGTAGATGGGATTACAGGTGCCTGCCACCATGCTTGGCTAATTATTTTGTATTTTTAGTAGAGACAGGGTTTCACCATGTTGGCCAGGCTGGTCTCGAACTCCCGACCTCAGGTGATCCTCCTGCCTCGGCTTCCCAAAGTGCTGGGATTACAGGTGTGAGCCACCACGCCTGGCCCACTTTTATTTTATTTTTTTTAAGTGACACCACTCTTCCTCCTGCCTCAAAACTTTTGCCTATGTTATTCCCTCTGCCTGGCATGAAGATATTTCTTCCTCTTCAACTCGAATAATTCCTACTTATTCTTTATGATTCCACTTAAGTGTAAGTTACTCAGGGAAATGCTCTCTTATCCGGATTATAGCAGATTTCATGCTGTAAGCTCTCACAATTCCTCCTTAATAAAATTAAAATTAATTATTAATGTGAACCCTTCTAGCATGTTGTCTGTTGTTTTCAACACAAGAATAAACAATCCATGAGAAGTCACACCTGTTTTATTCTCCTATTCCCAAGAGTATTCCAAAGTGCCTGGTAATATATGCTCCTAGTATACACTTCTTGTATAAGAAAGTGAATGAATGTATCTAACACATATCATAGGTAGTGCCAATTCCTTTAATAACAGATATGAAATTTGGCAGCTTCTGTACTTGTTTAAAATACTTCCAACCTAAATATTTTCTAAAGGGCTCCAGAATTAGGAGTATTAAAATTTCAGTACCTTGGAAAATTCTGCTCATAGTTATTGTTTTTGGAAAACATATTTTGGAAGCTCAGAGAAATACTGTATAATGTCCTAGCCTCAAATCTATTGAGGTGATCTAGTAATTTTATAGAGGTACAAACTGAATCAATTGAAAGGCAATAAATCCTTTGTGGTGTGTGTTTAATTTCTTTCTTTCTTTCTTTTTTTTTTTTTTTAGATGGAGTTTCACTCTTGTCTCCCAGGCTGGAGTGCAGTGGCGCAATCTCAGCTCACTGCAACCTCTGCCTCCCAGGTTCAAGTGATTCTCCTACTTCAGTCTCCCCAGTAGCTGGGATTACAGGTGTGCATCATCATGCCTGGCTAATTTTTGTATTTTTAGTAGAGACAGGGTTTCACCATGTTGGCCAGGCTGGTCTCAAACTCCTGACCTCAGGTGATCCACCTACCTCAGCCTCCCAAAGTGCTGGGATTATAGGCGTGAGCCACCACGCCGGGTCACGTGTTTAAAATTTCTTAGCCACCAAGCTCTGTTACTACATTGTGACTACCAATTTGGACAAAATTAAGAAAAACAATGTGTTAGGGTTTGGCCTTCAGTCATTTTTACATGCTGTTGATAAGAGCGTAAATTAGGACAACTTTTATGAGAGAAATCGGCTCTAAGATCCAAAGGCCCTTTGAACTAGCAGTTGAGAACGGAAGGAAGCCTTACTCCCGTGGCACTACAATGCTAACGCTAGATCAGGCACTTAGTCACCATGGGAAGATAGGCAGGTTCGTTCACTGCTCAAGCTTCAGTTTGCTTCTCTGTAAAAGAGAGTTTATTCCAACGCCTTGCTCATTACATGAGAGAGTAGGTAAAAGTCCCAGTGCCAGTGCCAGACATATTCCATCATTCAATATATTTTAGCAATTATTTGTATCCATTCTACATCTAGGAATCTATCCTAAATAGATCCTAAAGGAAAAATCAGAGATAGACAAATGTTGATGTATACAGCTGTGTTACCAACATATTATTAACAATAAACACTAGAAGCAAAGTCATTTTCCTAAACCATGAAACTATAGGTTTTCTAGAGCAGTGGGAGAATACAAGATAAGCCATGAAAATCAGATTCTCAAGACATTTAAATATTTGGTGGTGCTGTGGGCCGTGGATGCCTTCTTATTTGCCTTTTTTTTTTGAGACAGGGTCTTGCTCTGTTGCCCAGACTGGAGTACAGTGGTGCAATCATAGCTCACTGCAGCCTCTAATTCCTGGATTCAAGCAATCCTCTGCCTCAGCCTCCTAAGAAGTTGGGGCGACAGGTGTTTGCCATCACACCTGGCTAATTTTTTAAATTTTATTGTAGAGATGGAGTCTCGCTATGCTTTCCAGGCTGGCCTCGAACTCCTGGGCTCAAGCAATCCTTCTGCCTTGGCCTCCCAAAGTGCTGAGATTACAGGCATGAGCCACTGTGCCCAGCCCATCTCCTCTTTTTGAACACACGGGAAGTCTGCCTTTCCCAGTATCCCCTGAAACCTGAATGATGTTATATGACTTAAGTCTTAGTGCAACAGACAGAAATGATGTAAGCCACTTTCTTTTTTTTTTTTTTTTTTTTTTTTTTGAGATGGAGTCTCGCTCTTTTGCCCAGGCTAGAGTGCAGTGGCGCGATCTCGGCTCACTGCAAGCTCCGCCTCCCGGGTTCACGCCACTCTCCTTCCTCAGCCTCCTGAGTAGCTGGGACTACAGGCCCCCGCCTCCACTACAGGCGCCCGCCTCCACGCCCGGCTGATTTTTGTATTTTTAGCAGAGATGGGGTATCCTGTTAGCCAGGATAGTCTCGATCTCCTGAGTTCCGGATCCGCCTGCCTCAAGCCTCCTGAAGTACTGGGATTACAGGCATGAGTCACTGCGCCCGGACTTTTTTTTTTTTTCTTTTTTTAAGTTCTGGGATACATGTGCAGAATGTGCAGGTTTGCTACATAGGTATACATGTGCCATGGTGGTGTGCTGCACCCATCAACCCCTCCTCTAGGTTTTAAGCCCTGCATGCATTAGGAATTTGTCCTAATGCTCTCCATCCCCTTTCTCTGCAACCCCCAACAGGCCCCGTGTGTGATGTTCCCCTCCGTGTGTCCGTGTGTTCTCATTGTTCAACTCCCACTTATGGGTCAGAACATGTGGTGTTTGGTTTTCTGTTCCTGTGTTAGTTTGCTGAGAATGATGGTTTCCAGCTTCATCCATGTCCCTGCAAAGGACACAACTGTTTCTTTATAAGTTCTACACATACTGATTTAGTGTTAGTGGGGAAAAGAAAAAAAAAACAGGCGGGGTTTTCATTCAGCAGCAGACAATGGATGCGGGAGGAACTGGAGAGATCAGAAATGTGGTAAACGCTGGTTTGGTTGCCTCCCATAAAGGACCTCGTTCCAGTGTCATCCTCCTCATCCCCAGAGTCACTTGGATCTGTAAGCCTTGACTGTTGGTTCAATGTCTCGGTCACCATCACCAGCCCCCATCTTAGACCCCAGGATGGACTCTAGGGCTGGACCACCATGATGAAAGACGGTGGGCACGGTTCCTGCACACTTCTGGAGGCGGGTGCAGCACCACGATGGATCTGACCTCCCACCTGGCTGCCCCCAAAGGGCCACTAAGCGCCTGGAACTGCAGAGAAGTCACTGCCCACAGAGCTATGAACTAGTGATACTCGGGAGTCAGGAAGGAGTTGGCAGAACGAGCCATTCCCATCCTCCCAGGCCTCTGAGGGCCTCTCAAGACACAAGCACGTGAACAAGGCACTGCTGTGTTTTCTGGCGAAGGTCAGGCAACTTCGCAGACAACGCTTCCCACTCACTTCCCTGTTCCCTGTCACTCTTCTGCTCTCTCTCGGTTCTCCGCGGTTGGCCACAGCTCCCCTCCCTTCCACAATAAAGTATAACATGTAAGTATTCCCACGCGGTCTGCTTTCACAGGGGATTTGGGCTACGATAACTCCCAACAAGCCCTCCAATAAGCCTCTATCCCCTTTTAACTTCCAACTTCTGTTGGAAGCTACAACAGGTTCCTAGGAAGCTGCCTCCACAAATCCCTACCCCAGAAATGAGCCTGCAAGATCTCAGCCAAGTCACCAGATTGTTTAATTCTCCTGACCAGCAGCAACTGGCACGCAAGTAAGCACATGGCCAAAATGGGTCCTAGGAGAGTGAATGTCAGGATGTTATATTCAAATACTGGATTAAAGTGCTCACAACACCTCGGGCCTGGAATCAGCACTGCAATTTTTCTGTCATGAGAAACTCCAGCCTGCAGATAAAGATGAGACATGAAGAAGAAGACTAGGACAATTAGAAAAGGGAACCTGGGGCTCCAACTGCACACTTAAGCCCCTGGATCAATCTGTTCCTGATGCCAAAAGAGCTCTAAATGTTGCAATTATGTGTGTCCATTTTTTTCTACTGTCTAAACCGATTTGAGCTGCCTATTCTGTTATTTGCAAACACAACATCCTAGCTGAGGGAAGGGATGGATATGTGATTGACTAAAGTATTTCAAAACTAATTTCCTAGTCCCAATGGGAACATGAGCTGCCACTCTCTGCTTGGTTAAGATGGGCAGATTGAATTTTTTAAAAAAAATCAACTGATACTTTTCCAAAAAGATTTGTTTTTTTAAATCCCAGAACAAGACACTATTACCGCAGCGAGCCCATCCGTGTGCAGACCATCATTCCCATGATGTTTCAAATCCCTGTTCTGTGTAGGTGTTTTGCTCTGTCTTCTTTTCACCCTTCTGAAGTCTCAGGCAGGTAGACTCATTTTAAGGGCAGCATTAGTGTTCTGCCTTCATAAGCACGGAGGGGAAACAGACAGTGCTAATGGCTGGAGATGTGTCATCAAAGCTGCAAACCCTTGGGCTTTCTGTCACGCATAACTTCTCCTGACATGGAACCTGGCCCGGTTCACTGGAGCCAGGCAGTCTGTTTCTAGAGCCTTTAAACATATATTGTACAAATCAAAGGGTTTATCCTTGTTTGGGGAGATGAACTGAAAGCAACTGTTATCACTATAACAGTTCTATGCACGGAGGAGCTGAAAAAGCTGTCTAATATGTTTTGTACCACCCGTGCAAACTCGCTAGGGTGGGTGGAAAGCAGCTATTGAACTCTGCAGTTGTTGTTCTTCCTACACCCTGCTTGAAATGTACAAAAAGAAACATGCTATGCAGATGGAATCAACAGCCCACTAGCTCAGCGCTCCACGGCACCTTTTCTAATATTTGCATGTAAAAGGAGAAATACGCCTCCTAGTTCTTAAATCAGAGAGTGTAAACTGGCCATCTTTAGCTTTTTGTTGTTGTTGTTTTTCCCTGAGACAGGGTCTCACTCTGTGGTCCAGGCTGGAGTGCAGTGATGCAATCTCAGCTCATTGCAGCCTTGACCTCCTGGGCTCAGCTGATCCTCCCATCTCGGTCTCCCGAATAGCTGGGACTACAGATGCGTGTCATTATGCCTGGCTAATATTTGTATTTCTTGTAGAGATGGGGTTTCCTCATGTTTCCCAGGCTGGTCTCAAACTCCTGGGCTCAAGCTATCTTCCTGCCTCGGTCTTCCAAAGTGCTGGGGTTACGGGCATGTGCCACCATGCCCGACCAAGAACTCAACTTTTAAAACTTGAGAAATTTCCAGTGAGGATCTAGATTTCTGGCTTTTTTTTTTTTTCTGAAATAGTAAAATATCAGCAGCTTTAGGTTTGGCACTTGGAACGCCAATAATTGACTGATACTGAGCTATAAGGCCTACCTGTCCGCATACCAGCTTGCTTCACTCCATGGGTAACTGGTCCCAGAGGTTATGTGAGTTGATGGCACTTTCTTTGAAAGCATGTTCTGTTAGTATTTTTTTGCTACTGTTTCTGGGTTTTGAGACGTTTGACTGCCCAGAAAAGTTTTCCCAATGACTTTATAACTACAGACTCAGTCCAATGGGGTTCAATGATGAGTTGCTTTACAGTCACCATGGACCCCCAAGGCTGCAGGTCCTGTAAACTGAGTGTGCCCAGATGAAGCAAGTGTGCCCAATTCATGACCTCAGAGCTGGCATGAATGAAAAAGTCAGCCGCAGGTGGAACGTAAGTGCTCAGGTAAAGGAACAGGAACCAAATTAAGAATCGAGAGGTGCCCTGTTTCATTGCAGTAGGAACTTTAGAACCAAGGATACGCAGAGCCTCTTGGCATGATTTAATCAGATCACACCTCGTTGCATTTTCCTACCTTTCTCATGGTTACCCTCTGCCTAGAGAACCTGCCCCCATGCCCCAGCTTTGAGTATTGCCTCATATCTCCTTGCCAGTTAACCTTTCAGTAAAGCCTTTGCTTTTCTCAAAAGCTTGCACCATAATGGCGTCATCAGGTAGCAAGCCCATCACTTGGTAACAACATTGCTGCTTTTAGAAACACAAAGCTGTGGTAATGTCATCATATTAATTTTTCTTTCTCTTGCCTCATAAGAAGTGTGTGACATATATAATTACAATTTGTGTTGATACCCCTTCAGCATAGGAAAGGAAGAAGGAAAAAGTGAAAATATAGGACGTCTTCCTAGACTTCCACCCAAAACTCAAATGACAATATTATAGTAGGGTTAAGAAAGGTGGAAAGCAAAATTACTTCAGCACAACAGGAAAATAATTGTAAAAGAGCTTCAAAAATTACAGGCTTTTCTTTCTGGTAACCTTTTCATTGGACACAAAAAGGTTATAGAGATTTTAGTAACAACCAGTTTCTGAGAAATCAATATCACATTCCTTGTTAAAAAAAAATGCTATTACGTGTGTGTGCACGTGCATGTGTATTTGTATGTGTGTTTGTATGTGTGTGTGTGTGTGTTTATGTGATTAGAAAACTCTGTTCATTGCCTCCTAATAACCAACCCTGCCTGGGCACAGTAGGTTATACCTGTATTCCCAGCACTTTAGGAGGTCGAGGTAGGAGGATTTCTTGAGCCCAGGAGTTCAAGACCAGCCTGGGAAACAAAGTGAGCTCCTATCTCTACAAACAAATTAAAAAATTAGCTGGTGTGGTGATACAAGCATATAGTCCCAGCTACTCAGGAGGTTGAGGTAGGAGGATCGCTTGAGCCTGGGAGGTTGAGGCTGCAGTGAGCTGTGATCACACCATCACACTCCAGCCTGGGGGCCACAGCAAGACCCTGTCTCAAAAAGAAAAAGAAAACACCCCACTTATGTCCTGAAGAAAAATGCCCTATTTGTTCAGGCAGTGAGGAAATACAGTCTTTGTCAGGCAGCAGCTAGCCCTCCAGGAGCCCTAGAATCAAATCATTGCTCTAATCCAATCATGAGGATTGCATCCCTCTTGGCCTGTGATTATCTAAAGGTGGGCTGTAGGAAAATATTTGTGCTTCAGTGGAAAAGTGTGGATTGTCTAGACTCTAGAGGGCATCCTTCAGTTATCTGATTCTGTGGAGGCAATTCTACAACTCTGAAAGTTGTAGGTAATTTATAGCAATGCAAATAATTTGTCTACAGAAATTCAAATTCTGGGTCAGGTGCGGTGGCTCATGCCTGTAATCCCAGAACTTTGAGAGGCCAAGGGAGGCAGATCACCTGAGGTTGAGAGTTTGAGACCAGCCTGACCAACATGGAGAAACCCCATCTCTACTAAAAACACAAAATTTGCCAGGCATGGTGGTGCATGCCTGTAATCCCAGCTACTCAGGAGGCTGAGGCAGGAGAATCGCTTGAATCCAGGAGGTGGAGGTTGCAGTGAGCTGATATTGCGCCATCGCATTCCAGCCTGGGCAACAAGAGTGAAATTGCATCTCCCAAAAAAAAAAAAAAGACCCAGAAAAAAAAAAGAAATTCAAATTCTGTTCTGTCCACAAGAGATTAAACCAAATTCCCTCTTCCCATCTCCTTTTGTGGATACCCTTGTGTGCTTCCTTTTTACATGTGTTTCAATATCACCCATCTATACTTGTACCTGTTCTTTGGATTCTCTTTTGTCCTGGTTATAACATCTGTTTGGTATCCTCATGAGTTAAATAAACTTTAAACCATGTTCATTTTGATATCCACAGGAGAGTCATGATTTTGCCCTTCTTTGAAGATCTTCTTTTAACATGGCCGATGAGCTGTGAAGCGGCACGTGCTAGGAAGGGCTCTGCAGTAGGCTGTTCTGCTCACCAGTGTCTGCTTTCTGTTCCTTCTGGGAACATGGTAGAACTGCACTTCCTGATTTCCTTGTGGATGGGTGGCGCCCTTGGACTTGTTCTGGACAATGAGGCGGAGGCAGAAGTGCCCTGTGTGATTCTGGGTGGAAAGTTAAACATTTCTGCACAATGCTGCCTTCTTCTATTCCTTCCTACACATTGTCCAGGAAAGTTGAAATGGGGTGGCTGCTTCCTGGACCCCTACTGACTGCCAGGACCAGAAGCTCCCTGCTGACCCATGATGGACATGAAGCATGAGCCAAAATTAAGCCTTACTTGTTTTTAGCTACTACTACTTAGAGATTAGCCCTGACTTATACTCACTAGAATCCATTCCCTCCCCACAATAAAATGGTAAAGCCTTTTCAGGAGAATTCTATGTGCGTGTAACTTTTCACTCCTGTGTTCTTTGAAATTTTGAAATGTGTTAAAATACACATACCATAACATTTACTATCTTCCTCATTTCTTGCATAGTCTAATAGTGTTAAGTACTGAAGGAAATCAGAATCTATCACCCCAAAATATGCCTCTCTGACACAAATATTTTTGAGCTGAAAGCACTTAAAGAAGCAGAAGTTATAAAAAGGGCTATTTGAGCTGCCCTTTCTTACCTATAGCAAGCCACAAAAATTCCTGAGGGAGAGCTATCTTCCCTGTATCAACACAGGGAGATAATGCTTGTCTCCAGTGGCTGGGAATTGGGTCTGCAATGGGTCTGTATAAATATACTGAGTAACCCTTATCCTTTATGAGCTCTTATACCCCCTCTATGCACCTCCTAGTGACTCTCCTGAAGGTCACTATCCCTAGCCCAGGCCCCTCTGTGTTGCCTTTGTGAGGTAGGAGGCAGGCAGGACTCCAGACTGAATAAAACCTGAAAGAGGTGCAGGAAGCCCAGCTCCATAAGAGACGCCCACCAGTACCATGACAGTTTAGTATTGCCATGGCAACACCCGGAAGTTACCACCCATTTTCCAGCTAATACAGATTAGCTTGCCCTCTAACTAGCATATCATTGAAAGTGGGTATAAATATGACTGCACAGCCGCCCCTGGGCTGTTGCTCTCTGTACACTGCCCGTGGAGTAGCCCTGCTCTGCAGAAGCAGTCACAGAGCTGTTACCCAGCTGCCGCCTCAATGAGGCTGTTTAATCCTACCACCTTGAATTACTTTCCAGGAGAAGCCAAGAAGCTGCCCTGTATCAATTGCTCCAGAAAATGTATTGTTCTTTTTCTGAAAAGCATAAAAGCTTTCTGCTTTGGCTGTTTCTTTGGGCCTTCACTCTCTTGTGAGGGTTCCCATGTACCTGTACATCTATAATTAATAAAACATGCATGCTTTTCTCCAGTTAATCTGTCTCGTGTTAATTTGGCTCCTAGACCCAGCTGAAGATCCCAGTTAAGAACTAAGATGGGTAGAGGTGATCCACAGCTTTCCCTACAGTATATTCATATTGCTGTGTAACCATCACCATCACCCACCCCCAGAACTCTTTTCATCTTCGGAAACTGAAACTGTCCTCAGTAAAAAACAAATCCTATTCCCCATGTCCCCTCAGCCCCTGACAACCATCACTCTACTTCCATCTCCATGCATTTGATCTCTCCAGGAGTCTCAAATGGCTGAGATCATACAGCATTTGTCTTGTCATGAATGGCTTTTCTCACTTAGCATAATGCCCTCCATGATCATCCATGTTGTAGCATGTGTCAGAGTTTTTGTTTTTAAGGCTAAATTATATTCCACTATGTGGACATGCCACACTTTATCCATTCATCCATCAATGGATACTTGAGTTGCTCCCACCTCTTGGCTATTGTGAGTGTAGTAGTCTGTTTTCACGCTGCTGATAAAGACATAAAGATTTACCAAGACTTGGTAATTCACAAGGAAAAAGAGGTTTAATGAACTCACACTTCCACGTGGCTGGGGAGGCCTCACAGTCATGGCAGAAGGCAAGGAGGAGCAAAGGCACATCTCACATGGCAGCAGACAAGTGAACAGAACTTGTGCAGAAAAACTTCCCTTTATAAAAGCATCAGATCTTGTAAGACTTATTCACTATCATGAGAACAGCATGGGAAAGACCCATCACCATGATTCAGTTACCTCCTACCTGGTCCCTCCCATGACATGTCAGAATTGTGGGAGCTATAGTTCATGAAGAGATTTCTTTGGGAACACAGCCAAACCATATCAGTGAGTAATACTGCTATAAAATAAAGGTGCACAAATTTCTCTTTGAGATTCTGTTTTAAATTCTTTTGTATATATAGCTAGAAGTAGAATTGCTAGATCATATATTGATTCTACTTTTAATTTTTTAAGGAAATGCCATATTGTTTCCATAGCAGCTGTAAATTTTACATTCCCATCAACATTATGCAAGGTTTCTGCTGTCATCACATGTTCTCTTTTCTTGACAGTGGCCATCGTAATGGGTGTAAGGTGACAGTTATCTCATTGTGGTGAGGAGAATGTGGTTTTTAATTTTTTAAGGACGGTTCCTTAAAAATTTAAGGAACCATCCTTAAAAAATTAAAAGTAGAATTAATATATGATTTAGGAGTTCTACTTCTAGGTATATGTACAAAAGAATTGAAAACAGAATCACCTCTTCCTCTTTCTTCTGCCTGGAACGGGGCTGAGTTATACATCATCAGTTCAAGACCTCCCAATGACAGGATGAGAAGGAAATTAACATGAAAGATGGTAGAGGCGAAACAGGGACAGTGCTGGGGAGCCTGATGGCCCTGTCAGCAGCTCTGCCGATGCTGGCAACAGCCTCCCTCCAGACTTCTTGTTAAGTTAGAAAAATGCACTGCTGTTTACTCAAGCCACAAATAAATTGGGCTTTCTGCTATTTTTAGCCAAAAGCATTCTTACATACATCAGGTGATACAGATATATCGTGGATTTTCAACGAACTTTTAGGATACTGTGGGATTGCACCTGATGTTGGCAGTTCAGTTCTAAAGGTACCAGCTAAGGAGAAAATCACATTTGTTTCCAATTATCCTTGAAAAGCTCCTCGAGCCCACATCAAGTACAGTAGGATTGGTGCATGTAGGCCAGCCTGTTCAGTTGTGGCCATGGTGGAGAAAATGCTTACAGACTCACAGTTTGAAGAGAAGATTTCATCATTTTATAAGAGCTTCACTGTAGGGAGGGAAGGGATGTACTCATTAGCCTGAAGTTGGTGCCCCCTCCCCTAGGTCCCGGTATTAGTCTGTTCTCAAACTGCTAATAAAGACATACCTGAGACTGGCTAATTTATAAAGAAAAAGAGGTTGAACGACTCACAGTTCCACATGGCTGGGGAGGCCTCACAATCATGGCAGAAGGCAAAAGTCATGTCTTACATGGCAGCAGGCAAGAGAGAATGAGAGCCAAGTGTAAGGCGAAACCCCTTATAAAATCGTCAGATCTCATGAGACTTATTCACCACCACAAGAACAGTATGGGAAAAACCTGCCCCCATGATTCAATTATCTCCACCTGGTCCCTCTCATGACACGGAGGAATTACGGGAGCTACAATTCAAGATAAGACTTGGGTGGGTACACAGCCAAACCGTATCAGTCCCTGACATGTCAGAAGGTCAGGCTTTCTTGCATACCTACATGCCTAATACTGCCCTCCAAAGCAGCCTTGTTGAAGAGACGGATAAAAGCCCCCTGACTCTCAGGAAAAGAGAGTCTTGGGGAAGAATTACCTTGTAAGTTAGCCAATCCTTGGAAGGCTATTAAAAACAAGTGCTGGCAACAGGCATTTGAAAGAGGTCTTAACTGGTAAGGATTTTTGAATCTATTAAGGGGTGTTTATCCAGGGGGTAAAACATTCAAACTTGTGAAGGACTCACATAGTTGTCCAGGGAAGCAGAAAACTAAGGATCTGCTTATGAGTTAGGATTGTACATACTCAGACTGGGATTTTTTTTCCCCTGGGACAAGGTCTTGCTGTGTCGCTGAGGCTAGGATGCAGTGGTATGACCAAAGCTCGTGCCACCACACCCGACGAACGTTCTTTTATTTTTAATTTTTGTGGAGATGGGGGTCTTGATTTGTTGCTGAAGCTGGTCTCGAACTCCTGGGCTCAAGCAATCCTCCCACTTCCCAAAATGCTAGAAATAAAGGTGTGAGCCACTGCATAGGGCCCATGAGATTCTTTGTGGGTTTTTTTGGTTGTTTTTTTTTTTTTTTTTTGAGATCAGATCTTTCTCTGTCACTCAGGCTGGAGTGCAGTGGCACAATCTCGGCTCACTGCAACCTCTGACTCCTGGGTTCAAGCGATTGTCCTGCCTCAGCCTCCCGAGTAGCTGGGATTACAGGCACATGCCACCACACCTGGCTAATTTTTGTATTTTTAGTACAGACTGGGTTTCACCGTGTTGGCCAGGCTGATCTCAAACTCCTGGCCTCGTGATCTGCCTGCCTCGGCCTCCCAAAATGCTGGGATTACAGGCGTGGGCCACTGTGCCTCCCCAGGATTCTTTTGAGAAAGTGGGGAAGGTGCTTTTTTTCAGCCATATTTATGCACCACATTGGAGATAGAAATTCTTTCAGCTCATCTAACATGGCACTGGAACATATTACTGAGAATCAGGGAAATACAGATGCCACTCGACTTACAATAGGGCTACCTCCTGTTACACCCATGATAGGGGAAAATATCAGAAGTCAGAAATGCACTTGATACACCTAACCTACGGAACATCACAGCTCAGCCTAGCTTGCCTTACGCAAGCTCAGAACACTTACATTTTCCTACAGGTGGGCAAAATCATCCACCATAAAACCTATTTTATAATAAAGTCTTGAATAGCTCATGAAATGTATGGGATACTGTACTTAAAGTGAAAAACAAAATGGTTGTATGGCTGCTCAAAGTATGGTCTCTACCGAATGTGTACTGCTTTTGCACCATTGTACAGTAAAAGAAACTTTAAGTCAAACCATCGTAAGCCGAGGACTGTCTGTAGTTGTCCTGTGTTTAGTTAAATACTCGTATCTCACTGAGTTCGGAGAGGCACAGGTGAAGGGAGGTCCCTGAGGACATGACCCCTTCTTGCCTTCCATCTTGCTCCCCTTCCAGGGTTTCATGAGCAGAACAGAGGGTGCAGCCCGCACTCGGGCTCCAGCTGTGTTCCTCTCTCCCCAAACAGCTCATGTCTGCAGAATGTGTGTACATGAAGCACGCTCACCACTCTAAGACGAGGGTACTCCCCAGGCGGATGATGTACTTCTTGCCTTTGCACGTGTCATTCCTAACAGGCAGCACAGGGCAGTGGTTCCATTCCTGGCTCTACCGCATACCAACTGTGCAGGTTTGAGGGGATTAACCACTCTGTGCCTCAATTTCCTCATCTGTAAAATGTGGATAATAACAGTCCCTGCCTCAATGGGCTTCTGTGATGATTCCAGGAGATAACATACATAAGCTGCTTCACCTGTGCTGGGGGCTCAGTAATTGCCAGGTAAGCATCCGCTACTATCATTAGCATGACAAAACACAGCAATGGGTCTTAATTGCTACTTGAATGGATGCAGCTATTCATCTTGCCACTGCCGGTTGCCTATTTGCAAACTGGGGCCATGTACGTGCTTTGGAGTAATTTTGAGAGTTCATGTTTGCTAAAGGCACCTTGTTCCTTAACACCAAGAATCTAGACTCTCAAGAGCAAGAAGAGTATCAAAATGGTCCTGTGATCCCAGCGATCCAATGCACTTGGCATCTGACAGCCATTTTTATTGGGTAATCCCGGTTAACAATGGGACATTTACTACCCTTGCCTTTGAATACAGTGTGGGGTTCTCTGATGACGAGAATTCAGGTAAACCTGTCAATCATATTCACACACATATACATGCATGAAAGTTTAACAGAACCTCTAGGACTTTACAAATATTAGCTCATCAATTTGCACAAAAGCTCTATGAAGTCAGTACTATTATGCTTATTACACAGACAAAGAAACTGAGTCACAATAAAGCTTAAATAACCTAAGTTATATAAACAAAGGACGGCAGTGATATCTCCCCCAAGAAAGCAGAGTGCTGCATTTCCCCCAGTGGCAACCCTAGGGGAGAACTTGCCCAGAGGTATGCCTTTTATCATTCACAAGTGGGATCACACAGTGGAAGAAGCCTTTTTAAAAAAAAAAATTAATGTATTGTAAAACTCCCTTTGTGTGATAAACTATTGACCTGTCTCATTTTTTTAACAGGTGCACGCCATTCCAAAGCATAGCTGCAACAGAATTTTCCTTTGAGTACTTTCATACACCTATAATTTAAATTGATTAAGATATGCATCAAAAATTCAATAGTATAATTTGAGGGCTTTACAGTAAGAAAGTACAACTCTTGTAAGAAGACAAACTGTATCTTTTTAATTTAATGATGCGGACTTCATATATAGTAAGAAATTTAAGTCATTTAAATGGGAAAAAGAGTCCAGTATCATATAGGGGGGAAAAGTTGCATATTTTAAAGAAAGTAAATGTGTATTTCCATTTTAACTACTGAAATCCAGCCCACGACTCCTGGAAAGGGCTTCCTATCAACATAACATTTGCATTCCATTTCCCATGAGTCATAAATCCCGTGGCATGGTCTGCAAAGGTCCCCTGAAAACAAGGCTCTCCTGCAGCATACATGTCAGCAAACCCATGAGCTATTGTCTGTTCCTACTCTTTCATTTCCCCTGATAACAGCATCTAGATGTTTCTAAAAGCAGAACACAAAGTCAAAGGACAAATCAGAGCCTCAAAAGAGAGCCTCTAAGCCAGCAGAGGCCCAGGGCTGTGTAACTAACTGCTTTGCCTCCATTTTCAAAGCTCATTGAGCCCAGGTCCTGGGGACCTGTGAGGGCGGAAGCTGCATTGCATTTAGGCAACTCCTGGCTCGGACTTCCTCCCACATCATTTATCTTTTTTAGCATCTTTGAGGAATGGAGAAGACATAGATGCTGACAGAGTGCGCAAGATTCATTGCTGTACCACTGAGAAAAGGAAGCAAGAGCAAACAGGACTCTTTTCATCCCTGCAGAGCAGAAAATCATGAGGGAAGAGTCAGCGGTTTGTTAGAACAAACAAGGGGGAAATACAGGCTGCTTTTCTGGGCAGCAGCCACTCCTGGGTATGCAAGGATCTAGGATACAAATGCCCTGTAGGCATTCCATTCGTAGGGATTCATGCTGACGAAATAATTTGCTAAATTAAAAAAGATACAGTCATTCACTTAATTACGCATTCGACATCGTGCGCCTCCTGTATGCTATGCAAACTTCAGGTGCGAGGGCGGCGGCAGTGAGCAAGGCAGACACATTGCAATGGAGTGAAATGGAACACAAACAGGTAGACAGCCAACAGCTTAATTGTGGAGGCTGCCACGTGTCATGAAGACAATAGCATGAGATGACAGATGAGCGGCAGGTAAGGGTGGTGGTGGTGATTTCAGTGGAATCAGCAGAGCCTTCACTCATTGGAGACACTGGAGGTGAGGGCTGGGAATGAGAAAGGTTGGTCGGTTGAGTGAAGATATGGAAGCAGCAGGATGTTCCAGGCAAAGGAACAATTAGTGCAAAAACCCAGAGGGAGAGACAAGCTTCACTTCTCCCGAGAACAGAGAGAGGCTTGCGTGTCTGGAGGGTATATATTGAGAGTATCTTTTTCCACCGCTAAAGATGCTCAGAGCAGGATTAACTAGACCAAGGCAGCATAGGAGCACCCTAAATGTCTATGAATGGTTAAACAATAAGAGCACGTCACTGGATGGAATACTTCATATTCACCAGGACATTCTTGGTTGGAAGTAACATAAATCAACTTGGGCTGGCATACAGAACACGGGGCCTCACCAAGTGGTATTTATTTGAATCCCAGCTCTGCCACTTACTTGCCATGAAGACTTGGGCAAATTTCTTAATGCCTCCATTTTCTCATCCATTAAATGAGAATGCTAAGATATACAGCTCTGGTTACTAAATGAGACAATGCATATAAACCTGGTCCTTGGTACCAGGAGCATAGGATACACTGAATACATGTTTGCTACTATATTCTAAGATGGTGGTTGTGGAAACCATGGTGAACCAAAAAGCAGGAGGCTATTACAATAGTCACACACAGAAATGTAAAATTCTATCTGTTTTCAGTTCTGTGGATGAGAATTGCAGGACAGGAAGAGGAGTGTTGCCTGACCAGGGGTGTGTCCCAGGCCCCCCCAAAGAAGGGGCAGTTTATTAATGGCCACATGGGAACACATTGTACATGGCCATTAGGATACATTTTCTGTCTTTCATCTCTGCCTCTCTGAGGACTTGGATTCATTATTCTTTCTCTTTACGTCCTCATCTCCCTCTACTTCCTGGGCCCACCCTTCAGATCTCAAGGTGACCTGCCCTGGGTCCAACCTCATGAACAGTGACTGAACCTCTGTCTTGGTTTCAACTCTGTGTTTGCCAGGAAGGGATTTTCATGGCTGCTGCCTAGATCGGGTGTAACCTGAAGGTAAGGCCCATCTCCATCAAGCAGGTGGGGGGCCCGTTGCAATCACGTCGGTTGTGGGATGGGGCAGTAAATACCAGAGATCATTGGTAACAGTGAGGGAGCCAACTGTAACCGGGGTAGAGACTCCAAATATAAGACTGCCACAGTTACACAGTAATTGTAATAAGAGCAGAAACTAAGACCAAGTCTCTGATGGAATGTGATGTGAACAAAAGCAGAAAGCTCCTGTACACAATGGTCACAGCTATGAGGCAGAATGCACAGATGTGGACCAAGACTGCAAAGGATTAGGCAAAAATGAAGACACCATATGGCACCAAAACTGTCCCTGGCTTAGTCTCTACAGTGAGTCTGTTGGGATTCTAACCAGTCTACCGCTTTCGGCAGCATGACCTTGGACACGCTGAGTAATGGATCTGTGACTCGGTTTCCCCAGCTGCAAAATGGAGATGATGACAGCACCAACCTCACAGAAGTGTGAGGATTCAGTAAGTGTGGACAAATCAGGGGCACAGAACCATGTCAGGCCTTCATAAAGCACTGGGGAAATGTTAACCATTATTGTTACAGACATTTATTTGAAGTATAGTTTCCTTTCTTCAGGTTTTTCTTAGAACACAAAACAATCTCAATAAATGCCTAGCCTTAATCCACACAAAAGTGTAATAATCTAAAGAGGAAAAGATGTATTCTTCAGCTGTTCAATCATTAAAAGTGTTGCTATTGATTCTGATTTTTATCGTGTATTTATTCAAGGTATTCCTTCTCTTTCCTATCCATGCCACTCCTGATTTTCTGCAAGTAAGGCTTTGGATGTCAATGAGGACACCGTGAAATATCAAACATTTGGGCGGAATGCCACCCCAGCTGCAGATGACAAGCAGCGACCTTGCCCAGTCTCCTACCAGAGTGAGTTTCCTGCTGTACCAGAACCAGGCATGGGAGAGCCACCAGCACTGTGCAGAGGCCCCTCTCAAGCTGCCAGAGAAAAGTACAAATCGCCCCTGTTCACTGGTTGAGTGTCGCTGCAGTTTTCGAGGCTGTCACGTTTCTGCATCCGTTAGCATGTCTGTGACAGAAACTGAGGCCAACTAACAAAGGGATGGAAGCAACAAAGGGATGGAAGCATCCCTGCAGAAGGGATGCGAGAAGATAAATAAAAACAGAAAAATGCAGGAGAAAATCAAAGAGAAAAGGATAAAACTGCCATAAATGGCATCCAGTTGCGATCTGTTAAAAGGGTTCTGACTTTATTCCTGCCTCCCAGGCCCCTCCTCCTACACTCTGTCCCCACAGATCAGCACCTACAGGCATTAAATTTGTTGCACAAAAATATGCACCTGCCATAATTCCAGAGTCCCAAATATGGTGAAAATATAATTATCTATTCATTGATCTATTTAACTGTAAAGGACTCTATCAATCGTCTATCAATAAGGAATTTTATATACCAATCTATCTATCCATTTGATAATCAGTACCCCAGGCTATCCTGCTTCAATAGTAAGAAAAAAACATTCTCCTCTGTCTCGGTGAAAAAACAAGATTCAGCAACTCATGAGCCTTCAAATTGAGCTGTAATGAATATTGTGTCGTGCTGGTGATTTCAACCGAATAATTCCAGGAAGGCTGGAAAAGGGGTCGGTCTATCTTCATCCCTTTTGTCGCCTAAAAGCAAAATCATGAGAAAGAAGTCCAGAATAAAGATGGTAATCCTGGGCTGTAAATGCTGGAACCTCATCCATGATGCCAATTGCTCCATAACCACACGGACGTGAACCCCAAAAAGCATGAGATACAAGGTGAGAGTAAACACTGCCCCTGTATGTACAGGTAATCCCTCTGCTAGCTGTGGGTTCTAAGGCCGACTGCTGAAAAGATTTGACGGAAGTTGCCACTTGGGAAGCTTTTTTTGGAAGTTAAAACAGAAAAACTCAGCGCCTTCCAATGATGCTTTATTTTATTTGTCAAATATTCATTGTCACCCACCCTTACCCCAATTTCCCAAGGCAACTCTTTTCTGGTTCTTTCTCAGGGACCAGTGGTTGACTACTAGTAAAAAGGAAAAAGCCGAATATTCACCCCTCATGCTTCATACGAAATCACATCTCTACTTTGCTGCTTGTATTTTGGAAAAATTGCTTAATCCATTTTTTTCAAGCAGTAATACACTTGGTGATAAACATATTTAAATTGAATACTTCAGCAACGAAAGACTGTGTTCCTTAACCATTTATGCAAGTTCTAGCTTCTTAACTAGGAAAGAAATAGTGGCAACGACATGTCAGGTCTGTAGCTACATTTTTAAATAATGGGCTTCAAAAAAAAAAAAAAAAAAAGAAAAGGAAAAATCCCTTCCTCTTAAGGAGGAAAAAAAAGACATCTTTTATCACAAAATCTGTTCCTTCTTTAGCTGTTTTTAATCGATATCTACACCTTTGGGTAGGAAAATAAATCTGTATCTTTGAATAGCGTCATTTCCAACAACAGAGCAAGGCTCTGAGATGTGTTCTTTTTTATTAACAAAGGTGTTGTTAAATATCTGCACCATATATGTTTGATTTAGTCACTTTAGAAAACCCTAGAGAATGGCTGAGGGTTGTTAGCAGCTGGGTCTATAAATTGTAAACCTTCCCCAGGGCAAAGTGCCACTTGTGATGTTTGTTACTGTTATTTCATACGACATTTATTTAACCAGGAATAGGAAGAGTGGTGATTCAGCGGTGGTCTGATACCACAAAGGTGAAAAGCGAGTCAGGCAGGAGGTGCCGAGAATTAGGGCACACACCCTGTCTCAGAGGAAAGTTGGGGCTCAGCCCTACTCGTTGTCAAGAAGCCAGACACCCATTTTTTTCTATGTGATATCACCTAGAATTTTTAAATTAGCGATTAATCCAAACTTTAAAACAGACTCTGCGTGGGAAGAACAGAATCCACTTGCGAGCTAGATTCAGGCTGCAAGCTCCTACCTTCCCAACCTCTGGTTAACAGCTTCCTTGTTGTACCAGAACGGCCACCCAGCCTACTTCATCCTGGCTCCTAGCGTCCAAGCAGCAACTTCAGCAAGCTACTGCAACTACTGCAGAAATAATAACAGACACATACAAGAAGAACCCAGCTCTGGAAATATGATCAGGGGTTTACTGTAAACAGAAAGAGGACAACCACTTACCATGTATATATGGTAATCTGTGTGGACTTTATAGTACAACTCAGAGGAATTTCCTCTTTTCTTATCATATACCAACTTTTTACCACCCCTTTACAAAACACAAGCATTATCAATTACTGCCAAGAGCACCTCACATATAAAACAAAAAAAATCAAACACAAATAAATTTCATTTAATTCAAAAAATAAATTTTAAATCAGAAATCACTCTAGGCTGGGTATGGTGGCTCACCCCTGTAATCCCAGCACTTCGGGAAGCCGAGGTGGGAGGATCACTTGAGCCCAGGAGTTCAAGACCTGCTTGGGCAACATAGCACATCTCTACAAAAAATAAAAACAAAAAAAAATAGCTAGGTGTGTAATCCCAGCTACTTCTAAGGCAGGAGGATCACTTGAACCCAGGAGGTCAAGGCTGCAGTGAGCCATAATCACACCACTGCACTCCAGCCTGGGCAACAGAGTGAGACCCTGTCTCAAAAAAAAAAAAAAAAAAAAAATCACTCTTTACCCTTATATAATTTTTAACAATCTAAGAAAAGAAGGAATCAGAAAAAAAAAACACAAATATTTTTTATTTCTCCCATTCTTTAAAAAAAATTACCAGAAATTGCCCCCTTTAAATTTCAAAATTTTCCTAATTTTACTGTGCCAGCCCGACTCTCATACCTCACTGATTATATCATTCCCACACCTGATGCTCCAACAACCCAGGGTATACTTTTAGCTCAGTCCTATAAAAGGCTTCATAACCTGCACTGATCTGGATTCAACGCAGCTGCCGATGGACAAGAAAAACACATCTGGAGACTCTGCAGCCGTTCTTTCCAGCTGTTTGTGACTCCCGAAAGACACGTGAGCACTTGGCACCATCAGGCACACATCAGTTCGGCTCTCTTCCACCCCCAGGCACAGTCATCCTGAGCATTGAAGACACTTTAGAAAATGGTTGGCAAGTTGCTCTTGCACTGGGATAATTTTAGACAATCTGATACTTTGACGCTAAAAACATGTTTGGAATTGGTGACTGTAAACAATAATCGTAGCTTGAACTCTGACCCCGGCATGGTTGTATTTTGACTTACCTGGGTAGGATGCACTATGGAGGGAGCTGCTATAATCCTAATACTGTGGTGCTTAAACTTTTCGACATTATTTTGCTTTCTGTCTTGGGAGGGAGGTATTCTTCTATGTCTCTATTAGCCACTTCTGGACTTTTCCATCATCATTATATAGCTGCTTACCTCGCCTGTGGCAACAGACACTGGGTTTGTGAATAACAGGACAATGATAAAGGCTATGTGAGCAAAACGGAACAGCAGCTTAAAAAAGATAAAAGTTTCTTTCTCTCTCACGTAAATACTATCTAGTGCTAAGCACTCCTGGGCTAGAATTGTGCCTCCATGGCTGAGAGGGAGCCTGACCCCTTGCCTCTTTTTCCGTCAATGTCCTTACCATTCTCATACAACGAGGCGACTGCAACAGCTCCAGGCATCACATTCCAAATCCACCCAGCAGGAAGGATACAAGGCCTTAGGAAGGATCCATCTGGAAAGCCCCATTTGATGCTTTAACATGCAGAGTAGAACGGCTACACCCAGCTACAAGCAGTACCAGGAAATGAAGCTTTTATTCCAGCTGGCCATGTGCTCAGTGATTTTTGTTTGTTTGAGACAGGGTCTCACTTTGTCGCCCAGGCTGGAGAGCAGTGGTGTTATCTCTGCTCACTACAACCTCCACTTCCTGGGTTCAGGTGATCCTCCCACCTCAGCCTCCCAAGTAGCAGGAACTGCAGGTGTCCACCCACCATGCCCAGCTAATATTTTGTAGAGATGAGGTCTCATCATATTGTCCCAGGCTGGTCTCAAACTCATGGACTCAAACCACCTGCCTGCCTCAGCCTCCCAAAGTGTTGGGATTACAGGTGTGAGCCACCACACCCGGCCCAGGTTTTTGTTATTGTTTTGGGTTTTTTTGTTTGTTTCTTTTGTTTCTTGAAAGGAAGAAGAGCAGGTATTGGAAGAGACCATCAGAAGGCCCCTCCACAGTCAGGCCCCACCCATTTTTAGACACAGCTCTTGTTCTGGCGAGTCTCATTACTTATGGTTTATTCTGGGAACAGGATTTAAGGGGTCGCCTCCCCACTCAAACTCATGACGGCCTTAAGGTCTCTATGCCACTTGGGGAAGACAGAGAGAAATGAACTGAGCTGCGAGGACAATAATTAAAAGAATCTGCAGGTGAAGCACATTACTATTTTTACCAACGTGCTTTTACGCATTGACTCCAGAAATCCTTACAACCATCCTCCGAGAAAGCACTGTCAGCCCCATTTCATCCATGAGGAATCAGGAGCCCAGAAGACTAACTGCCCCAGGTTTCACAGTTAGGAGTGTGAAGAGCCGACTCCACACCCTGAAGCTAAGAGCAGACTTCTTAGCTTCAACTAAGACGCTTCTCCCACACCCACCCGCAAAGGGGCATTCAGATGTGTCTCGCCCAAACCATCCAAGCCCGAGCACCGGTCGCTTTTCTGCCTTTGAGGTTTCTCACTTGAAAGACATAGTTTGATCTCCCCGTCCCGCTGTGTGCTGGGCACTGTGGACAGCGTTGACCCTCCCCCTCCGAGCATGAACAGGTGAGTAATGTCTGAAAGAGGACACTCAGGGCTTTGGCTTAGCTTGTAGAATTTGTTGGTGGGGAGGGGGGGGGCCGGGGGGGCACAAAATGTTTTTAAATCTTTTGTGGAAATTATTTACCTTTTAAAATGGGAGATTTTTGCATAGAAATCTCGACATCTACCTGTCCTCAGGAGAGAGGAAGATCCAGGAACCCAGAGCCCTCATTCCTGGATAGCGACCTTTGTGGTAGCTGAGGGGCAGCTGTCACTTCCAGCCAGGAGGCATCTCTGTGGAGACCCTGCTGCCATCTGGCTGCTTCCCCAAACTTTGCTTTACTTGCCTGGCTTTGAGGGCACTTGAGTTTATGACCCATGGGAAGGCGGGGCAAAGACACAGATAGTTATGCTACAGGAAATGTCCGTAATTGGTGAATTTCAGGCTACCACAAGCCCCCTGTACCTGCTGCATAGATAAATACCTGAAAAGGACCTCAGGGCCATTCATCCGGTACCTTTTTACCATCATTAAATTGAAGAGAAAATTGAAACAGTGGCTGGGATCTCTCTTTGATCTACAGCAAAGGGATGTTAATAACCATGTTTCTGGGGAGACAGCTGATTAACACGGAACTTAGCAGTATTCCAGTAACAGCCATAGTCAGGAACATTCGTAGTGAATTAATTTCTAACCAGCTCCTGAATCCATAAATGAGAGGATGATTTGAGTTGTCTGGCCACTCCCTGCTGGGGGGTGACAGCAGCTTGAGCTCTGTGGGCTCAAAGGCATCTTTTGGGGGCACAAAGTGAATGACAAGGAGTTATGCCATCAAAAGCTTTGTTGCAAAATATATATTTTAAATCTATAAACTCCTAAGAGCAGAGTTTGGTTTTAAGTCTCTTAATGATTGTACAGATGCTAACAGTACAGAAACCGCCACATGTCTTCTTCTTGGCTCTTTATGCATAAATGTTTAGGTGGTTCATCTGTCTTAATCTATGGTTGCGTCACAAGATTTCTGACTTGTGTTTCATAGAAATAGTTCTAAACACCCAATCAGACAGGCACTGCAAAGCAGGCTGAGAAAACTCTGATGATGGTCAGGTATGAGACATGTTTCTCAGTACGTTAATCGGGGTACCATAAACAAGTGATTGTAACATATTTCAAAGACGTTGTATATTATAAATGTATACAATGATTATTTGTCAATTTAAAATGATAATAAGGTCATCCAAAAATACAATAGCTTACATAAGACACAGGTTTACTGTTCTTTTTTCCCCCTCATGTAGAGAGTCCTGGCCTAGTAGGGTAGTTCTGAAACTCTCAACATATGGCTTCTACCTCTGGAACCAAAGTGGCTGCTTTGGTTACCACTATCACATCTGCATCCCAGCCTGTAGGAAGCAAAGAACCAGAGAACACACATTTTGTCTTTTTAAAGGAAAGGCCTAAGTAGTACATGAGTTGCTTCTCACATCACATTGGCAACAGCTTCATTGCAGCGTGGCTTCACTGAGATCCAACAGAGGCTGGGAAATGTCATCTTTAGCTGGGCATCCATGGGCCCAGCTAAAATCCGGGAGTTAACTTATTCAAGAAAATATGAGAAAAGATCCTGTTTGGCAATTAGCAGTCACATTTACACTGGAGACAGGAGACCTTGAATTTTTTTAAGAAGTTCAAGATGCTACCCTTTCTGCACACAACCTCGTATGTAATGCAATATTAACTCTTGGAAAAGAGGATGGAGGAGCATTCATGACGAGGTTAATGTCTCATATGATCCCCAATGTAAGAATAGACATGTGAAAACATATAGCATAGTACAGGCTGAGTATCCCTTACCCGAAATGCCTGGAACCAGAAGTGTTTTCGATTTTGTTCAGATTATGGAATATTTGCATCACACTTACTGGTTCAGCATCCCTAATCCGAAAAATCCAAAATCTGAAAGCCTCCAGTGAAAATTTCCTTTGAGCACCACGTCGGCACTCAAGAAGTTTCCAGTTTTGGAGCATGACGGATTTCAGTTTTTCGGATCGGGAGATGTTCAACTGTGTTTCAGACCATGGGCTCTGGAATTGGAAACCTTGGTTTGGAATACTGCTTCTACTAGTACCTTGTGGCAGTTTGATCTTAGACAAGTTGATTTACCTTTCTGTGCCTTTGTTGTTTGTACAAATGTGGTGGGGTGCCCGTGGGGGTGGCGGCTGATTGTACCTGGCTTATGGGATATCATGAGAATTAAGTAGCACAATGCTTACAAAGGCCCTAAAATTGCGCCTGGCCTCAGCCCCATTCCTGCCTGTGCCCCAGCCACTGGGAAAAGGGGAAGGGAAAAGGAAGCTCAGGTGTATTCCTGATAAATCCATGTAAGTCACACAGGTGTATTCCTGATAAAGCCAGGTAAGTCACACAGGTGTATTTCTGATAAATCCAGGTAAGTCTGATAAATCCATGTAAGTCACACAGGTGTATTCCTGATAAATCCAGGTGAGTCACACAGGTGTATTTCTGATAAATCCAGGTAAGTCACACAGGTGTATTCCTGATAAAGCCAGGTAAGTCAGTCCCACGGCCTCCCCTCGAGGCGTAGGAGGCAGAGAAGTGGCACCTTAACACTTTTTTTCCTTCTCAATATTCTGAGGAGGAGACAGGCTCTCTGTGATATGGCTCAATTCATGTTCATGATAAACCCCTAATCATATTTTCAGAGCTGGATTCTTCTTGTTTGTGTCTGTTATTTCTGTAGTAGTCGCAGTAGGTTGGTGAAGTCTTTGCTAGTAAACGTCGCCCTAAACTTAAAAATCATAACATCATTCTGCTTCTCTGAAACAATAGCTGCAATTTCTCAGGCTCTTGAAGCACTAGGATTTCAACATTAATGCAAGTGCTTTAGAGGAAGAATTGCCACCACATTTACATGCACAGATCTCTTTCCAAAGCTCTTCAAATGTACAACCCTGAGAGCCCCAGAATCAGTTTAAATCAATTCGGAATGTGCAGGTAAGTTAACAGTGTTGAGCATCCATCTACCTTCAGAGGGTCAGAGGGTTGGAAACACACTAGAAAAAGTCTCATGTTCAGAGACACGAATGGTCAATAATATGGTTATAAATATCATCTTAATTCTGCAAATAATTTTACTATTAATAAATTCCTTTGCCACATACACATCCTCCTACAGTATTCTTAGAACACTCCCATCTGATGGTGTTGGACTTGCCTCTTTCCTCACAGGATCTATGTGTGAACAAACGAGAATTATATTCCAGGCGTACTTGTTTTCATTGTAGGGCCCTGATGTGCAGAGGGAGTGCTGAAGAGACAAATGCCGCTGGGAAAAGTGGCCTCATTTATTCAAGATCTGATAGGTGTTTCCATTGGAACCAAATGTTCAGAACGTCTGCACATTAGAATATTTTGGTTTGAGCCCAAATATTTCTATTTGAGATTTATGGAAAATGAAGACAGTGGATGGCACTAGACCAGCGTGTAAGCAGGAGTAACATCTGTGATATTTAGCGACTGGCTAAATGCTTGCTCGCTGTAAGTTGTGTCCCCACATACGAGCAAAGATCACTTCTGCCTGTGTGGCAGAAAGGGTCACAAATTCTATCTGAAAGTCTCTGAGCAAGCCACACCATTCTAAACGATCATCACATCTTTGAGTAATTTGAACAGAATTTGATCTTTTATGGTTGTTTTTTCCCCATCCCGTTCCCTCTTCCAGCATTGAAGCCCTTGAAATCCTAGATGATTCAAGAGCCCTGGAAATTGGAGCTATTATTTCAGAGAAGCAGAATGATGTTATGATTTTCAAGTTTAGGGTGACATTAACTAGCAAAGGCTTCACCCACCTACTGCAACAACTGAAAAATAACAGACACAAGCTTTGGAAGACCTGGTAACTGAGGCCATCCCCCCGTGAGACCACGAGCTGGCATTTAGGGCTCACTCTGTGGGAAAAACTCATCTTGAAATCCTGAAACTACTCTCTGAGTGGAGGAAGCTCATTCCAGGAATGTTAAGTGCAAACTTAATAATCAACACAGAAAAAAGCAAAACATGTGTCCCACCTCACGTTCAGTCTGGGCCACAAATAGACGCTAGTGGAGGTCACCGACTTATTTTTAAAATATTTTTTTTTCAATTTTTAAAGTAACTTTTAAAAATCCATTTTATTTTTAATGTTTTTCAGACTTATTTATTCTCATAAATCCAGAGATAAAAGGCGGAGCACAAGATTCTTTGCATGCCTTAGGGCTAAGGTAAGCCCATTTTCGGCATCTGTGCTGGCCATATGTATAAAGCCTATATAATTTCCATCTCTTTTTCTCTTTCTCTCATCTTTGTTTTGTCTCTCCCCTTCCTTGGAAAGCACATTATTTGAAGTCTGTTCGGTTGAAAAGTGTATCATTCCATTCCCTCCTATTAGCAGGAAGCATCCCCTGGGTGAATTGAAGATCCATCCTTTTCTGACCTTCCCAGTCTTCTGGGAGGCTCGCCCTGAAGTGGGGAGTGTTGAGGTGTAGAGCAGAGGAATGTAATTTTCATGCCACTGTCCATACATGGTGAGGAAGCCATTCTATATAAAATGTCACGCTGAATGCACACAGGCAATTTTCTGAGGGATGGACCACAGCTTTCTGTCTAACCTCAACATCATCTATGGCACCAGCAATGGCAAACAAAGGCTAAAAACCAGCAGTGTGAATTTCATGAGGCCTGAGGGTGTTTCTTTAGGCCCACTCAGTGGCACGTTTATTTTCGTTGCCATCGACATATCATGAACTTCCACAATCATGAGCTTTCATATTAAAATTCAACTTTCTTAATTCCCTTGCACCAGCTGGGATCAGTGGGCTCCTAGGGTGAAGACCACTGAGTGCTGCTGTGTGTAGGCGCCGTCCTAGGGGCCAGGATTGCAGCAATGAGCCAAGCAGACAGCGCCCTGGCCTTCAGGGAGCTCCCAGCCAGGTTGGTCATCCTCAGCCTGATGTACTCCTCGCTCTACTTAGTATCAGACTCTAAGAACCACTGCTGCTACCGAGTTCCCATCTCAACTCTGCCACTAACTGGGTTTGATGTTTGCATTTGTATAGCTTTAGGACTTGAGCTTTCTCATAGGTAGAATGGAAATAACAAAATCTACCTCTGTGGGATTTGTAAGGATTAAGATACCCTGAGGATCACGTAGCGCACAGTACATGCTAAATCAACGTTATTTCTTGACTCCAATCACCATCATTCCCTCACTTCACAAATTTGTCAATGAACATTGTATGCACTAAACCAAGTAACTTTTAGAAACCACAGAGTCTGTTTAGATTTACAGCTTTCTTCATGTGGTGTTTGTGTGAGGGCCTTTGAAACGCAGGCCAGAAAGACAGCCCCAGCCAGGAACCAACCCTTCTGGTGCCTAGATCTCCAACTTCCAGTCTCTAGAACTGTGAGGAAATGAATTTCTGTTGTTTAAGCCACTCAGTCTATCGTATTTTTGTTTCAGCAGCCTGAGCTATCTTATACAACACCTTATATGGAATGTGTGTTAGCAAAAGGGACCACCTGACTCTTTCTTGTGGTCAGTATTTAAGCCAACTCTTTAAACCAAGTGCCACCATGAACATCAGATAAAACATAATTTTATCACTCGAAATAGCAGTTTATGATTGGCGCAGTTTTTTGTTTTCTAAATTTTAACCAGCCCTCTTCCCTGTCTTTATAAATCAGAATTCCTAAGAAATAGTTGATCAAGGTGATAGCAAAATATGGCTACTCAAATGACTGTGTGTCAAATGCATGGTGCCAGGCCCAGTTTGTGCCCCTCTCAGCTCAGCATCCTTCCACCCCCCAGGCCTGGGCTATGTCCACCACTCCCTCTTCCTCTGAGGCTCATGCTGCCCTGCCTCCTCCAGGTGGAGGGCTGGATGCCCACCAGCTTCCCTTGCTCCCGTTATGGGAGCTGCAGCGCCCCTGGGGCCCACATCCGACCTGCCTAGACCTGCAGAAGCTCTGGTTCCTCTGTCTAAATCTAGGCTCCAACGAGACCCTGTACTGTGGGTGTGGAGTTGAGCTTCCGCAGCAGTGACCCCATAAGGCCCAGTAGCAATACAAATGCACAAGGGAGGTAACACCTCGTGGCGAAAATGGGGCCTGCTTTTGTCACAAGGGAAAAAAAACCATACAGAAAAGGGAACTGTAATTAATCAGCTTCCTGAAAGGAGCGAAGACGAACCTTCATGGGTATTACGTGTAATGTTGTGTTTCTTCCCACACTCCAGGGGCATGAAATGCTCTTCATCCAACTGGATGGTTTCATGTTGCCATAAGAAATAAAGAGAGAGTGGCCAGGCATGATAGCTCACGCCTGTAACCCCAGCACTCTGGGAGGCCAAGGCGGGCAGATCACCTGAGGTCGGGAGTTCGAGATCAGCCTGGCCAACATGGTGAAACCCGGTCTCTACTAAAAATACAAATATTGGCTGAGCTTGGTGGTACATGCCTATAATCCCAGCTACTTGGGAGGCTGAGGCAGGAGAATCGCTTGAACCCGGGAGGTGGAGGTTGCAGTGAGCCAAGATAGTGCCACTGTGCTCCAGCCTGATCAACAGAGTGAGACCCTGTCTCAAAATGGGAAGGGAAGGGGAAGGGGAAGGTGATACAAAGAAAGCATGAAGAGAAACAGTGACAGCATGAGCTCCAGGGGCATCGGAATGTGACGGGCAAGTTGCAGAATGATGAGGGGCTGTGAGGCCACCAGGATCCCCGCTGGTGCAGTGAGAGGGTCTGTGCAGGGCACTGGGAGCTGTGAAAAGCTTTGCCCCAAATCAGGTGAAATTCAACCAAGAAAATGCCACTCACCCTCCTCATTATAATTTCTATCCCCCTGCCAAAATGTGAACCATGCTACTCTGAAATTCCTTCATTTATTCTGTTTTGACCCTTAATTTATAGATATTAACATTTTGGCTTCTTATAGTTGATCAAAGTCAGGAGGAAAGAGAGACTAAAGGGAAGTAAGTAGAAGATAGGAAGGAGAGAAGGAAAAAGAATGTTTTTCTTTGAAAGGAACTTGCCATGTCACCGAGGGCATTAGAGCATCTCTGAATTCTAGCACCAGCTCAGCAGACAAGCTTTGTGACCCTGAGGATATTTTATCTCCTTTCTGAGCCTCTGTTTCCCCTTAGTTAATGGAAACATTGCACTTAGATCATCCTAAACTTCTGTCTCTTAATCTACAGAAAGAGCGAAGTTTTATTTGCCCGAATTAAATGGAAAGTAGAAATAATAGTTAATTCTCTTTCCCAAAACCTCAGTCCTATCCATTTCAAGAAGGGCCACTTTCCTCCAGAGAAATGAGTTACAAACCATCCCAGAGGTGTCTGGCAAACCGGGAGAGAATCCCTGAGTTCATATCAGCTCCCTCCCAAAATTTCATCAACAGGACAAAGCATAACAGAGCTGAACGAAGTAGAGGCCACCAGGGCAAAGAGTGGGCATGAGGACCACACCAGATGCCTCATCACACTTGGGGGAAGAGAAATGCTAATGAGGCAGGGGCAACTGGGTTTGCGGAGCAATACACAGCAGCTGGATCCTGCAGGGAAGGAGGCTGCTGCAGGACAGAGGAGGGGCCCGTTGAAGGCCCAGCCAAAAAACCTTCAGATGAGAGGGCAGGCTGGACAAGGCAGGACTCTGAAAACAGAAGAGACGGTTAAACCTCCACACTCAACCAACCAGACCCCTCGGACAAGGCCCCCACCCAGGCATCCTGGCCCAACCACTCGGGGCACAGGGATGTACACAAGCTTGAATATGCGGGAAACCAAGGCACTGAAATGGTGTAATCTCTGAATTCATCAACATCTGGAGATACAAAGCTGTGGCAAAGAGTAGGAATGTGGGTGAAAAGGAGTATTGTTGTTTTCTCTTTTACTTGCACGGACTCCTGGAATTGGACTTTCCTGAAAGGTAGCCTATGAGAGCTCTAGCATTCTCCATTTAACCTACTATTGCCTGTGATCTCACAAACTCCCCTGGGATCAATTCCAAATATCAGATTAGAAGCTTTGTGAGGGTAGGGATTTTGTCTTTTATATATTTACATCTTCAAATGCATATTGTTTAGTTGCTTGCGCAGAATTGTAAGAAACATAAAGAATAAACCCATGACCCTCTGATCTCCACTTAACTATTTTTCAAAGGAAATAATCATGATTTTTCAGCAGAAGAGATATAGAGATATAGCTATAAATACAGATCATCAAACTGAAAGTAGAAGAAAAATCAACGTGGATGTCTCAAGTATTCAAAAAGACTTTGGCACACAAAATATTTAAGCAAAGTATGACTAAGCTTATTTCAGGGAGGGAGAAATGTGAACTACAGGATGAATTGATTGACTCATGCAGTGAACAAGCATTTTGAGCATAAATTCGTGCCAGACACTATACCAGGGTATGATGACTTACCAAGGAACAAGACACTGGTCTCTGCTCTCGGGGAGTCAAGACTCTTTCTGAGGAGTTGGCAATTGACATAAATGACAGGTAGCCAAGATAGGGAGGGACCTAGGAGAAGAGCCTCCCAGTTAGACGGAAGAGCCCTGGGCAGAAGGGAGTCTGGCATGTGTGGGGAACAGGGGAGGGCAATGAGGCAGGGATGCCGTGAGTGATGGGGAACCACAGGAGATGTCAGAGAGAGGAACAGCAGCGCATGTGCTGAGCAACACGGAGGATTTGGGGTTTTGCTCTAAACCCCGTGGTTGCAAATCACGGATGGTTTTAATCAGGAATCAACAATTTTATTTTTATTTCAATAGTTTTCAGGGTGAACAGGTGGTTTTGGTTACATGGATAAGTTCTTTAGCGGTGATTTCTGAGATTTGGGTGCACCCATCACCCGAGCAGTGTTCACTCTACCCAACGTGTAGTCTTTTATCCCTCACCCTCGTCCCACCCATCCCCCCGAGTCCTCAAAATCCATGACATCATTCTTATGCCCCTTTAAGTCCTCACAGCTTAGCTCCTACTTATAAGGGAGAACAAACAATATTTGATTTCCCATTCATGAGTTACTTCACTTAGAATAATGGTCTTCAACCCCACCCAGGTTGCTACCCATAGGAAAAGAAGCCATTATGTGAAAAAGATACTTACACACGCACGTTTATAGCAGCACAATTTGCAATTGCAAAAATATGGAACCAACCCAAATGACCATCAACCAAAGAGTGGATAAGTCAAATGCAGTATATGCAATATACACCGTGGAATACTACTCAGCTATAAATGAAGGAACCAACAATTTCGATTTGTATGCTTTGAAAGATTTTCATTGCTGATCAGAGAAGACTGTAGAGGGCATAGGTTGAAGAAAGGAGACCACTTAGAAGTCTCTGACATGTGTCAAGCAAGAATATGATGGATTAGGTCAGAGTCCAGATGGGACCAAGGGCAGCAGGCAGCAGACAGGGATTGGGACACATTGAGAAGAAACATGATGTTGCCTACATTTTCACCCTTTAGCGACACCATAGGGAGCCACACAATCTTTTATCCATGAAAATTGCTCTGTAACCTTTCTAAATCTAACAAACAATTTAATCTTTCTAACATAGGGTCATCTATTAGGACATCACTTGTGTCTGAAATCCATAAATTAGCACAGAGATTATTTTTTGCACTATTTATGGTATTATGATCATGAAGCAGGAAACTTCTCCGACCCCTTTGCGGAAGGGAACTGGAGTGCGCAGGTGCTAGAACTAGCGGGCTGCTTCGACGCCAGCAGGGATGGACTCCACTCGCTCAGTCCCACTGTGTTCCACCCTTTGCAGGAGGGGGAGCGCAGGTGAGCAGATGCAGGAGCTGGGGCGAGTGCTTTTTGGTACCAGCAGGAGCAAAACTCTGTGTGGCCCCGCGGCAGCATCTAGGGGGATGCCCACGACCCCTGAAGCCCCAGTAGGAGTGTTACAGCTCTTTTAGCTTTGCCGTCGGTGGATGGCTTAAGTGTTAACAGCTCAGTGAAGGGTCAAGTGTGGCAGTCTTTTGCACTCGCACCTGAATTTTTGTCTGGCCTCTAGGAGGAATGAGGTGACATGAACAAATTGGAGATGGTAAATGTGGGGGATTTTATTGCCAATGAAAGCGGCTCTCAGCAGGAAGGGGAGCTGAAAAGGGCTTGGAGTGGGAATCTAATCTTTCCCCGGAGTAGGGCTGTCCCCGGCTGGACTCCTCTCCAAAGCAACACCATCAAGCCGTCCCTCTGAAGTCAAGCTGCTTATCTCCGATGTCCAGCTGCTTCTCCTCTTCTCCTCTGCTCTCCATAAGTGGAGCCTGGGGTTTTTACGGCACAGGATGGGGGGGCAGGGCAGGCCATGGGTAGTTTTGGAAAAGGCAACATTTGAGCAGGAAAACAGGAATGCATGTTCCCACTTTGGGCCATGGTATAAGGCTTTTTGGCTTGAGGGTCGGGCCCTCACCAGGGATCCACCCTCCTCTGCCCAGAATTTCCCTGCCTCCTGTCCTTATCAGTCATAATTCTGTTTTCCCTGCAAATAAACATCTTGTATCCTCCATAGCATGCACAGTGTCTAAACCAGAAATATGTTTAATAGATGTTCTTTAAAATGCCTTTTAACAACTCTACAAATATTCAGGCTATCTGCATCTATAAATTGCTGCATTTGTTTTCAATGGAAAGAAATTGAAAGCTGGCAATTGTCAGAGAGTCAAAAGTACTAAGACCTTTAATATTTCATTTCTGATATCTATATTCTAGTGACATATCTTTATTTCATTCTCCACTGGAAGTGTTGTAAGTTTAATGTCAATTGCATACATTTATTTAATTTCAATAGCTTGCATAATGCTGCCCAGCAAGGCACAATCAAATTAGGAGTGTCTGGTCAGAGGCAGGGCAGACAAGAGGAGGAAATCAGCAGGTCCTATCTCATTAGAATCACAAAAGCCTACATTTTTATGTGAGTTGTGTCAGGAAGCATGGCCTGAAAATATATTGGTCAAAAATTAAAAAGTGGGAATAAAACTATGGAAATATACCTGCAGCCTGACAACAAAAGAGAAATGGACCTCTAACAATTTTGTAGACTATTAATAGATGCCTATTAAATATAGCACATCAAATTACATGTTTCATCTTTTTAAGATAAATATTGGTTTTAGAGCAAAACAGTAGAGAATAATACAGCTATTCATTCTGACTCACTGTCAAGCAACAGAGGTGGTGAAAAAATTTTAAATGCCTTAAAAAGCTGTCATCGCCTTGAATTCTGACCACTTTAAAATATGCAAGAGACATATTTTAATTTAGATTCGCTTCGCCCTCCAATCACAAACATCCTACTGCTTGGAAGGAAGACACTGAATTAACCCCCCCAGTCACCAATCCGCGCTTCTCCACACATTTCCAAGAACCAAGGTTATGATTTTTCAAAATCCAATTACTAAATGAATGTCTCCATTTCAGCCCAGCTTTGAGTTTGTTAGCTACTGATTCTTTGAATGTTGGCTGCAAAAAATCAATTTGAAAAGCAAATAGTCAAACAGCCGTCAGCAGACTTAGACAATCCACAGACCTATTTTCCAGGAGGCTGTTTAACACACACACACTCCTGTATTTCCTAAACATTAGGGCAAAGACCAAAAGAAGTTATGGAGCCTCCTCAGCTGATGCTGCCCCCGACAGAGGAAAAGTAACCCATCTTTTATTTCTCAAGGGTGACGTTGTGAGGGGGCAAAGCTTTGGGGGATACGTGGATTGACATCTCAGGGGGCCATTCACGTTCCAAAGCAAATGTTTGAATTGCTCTGAGTGAAAAGCAAGAGAGATACATGACTGATTCCGGGAGGGACTGAACATCCCACTGTCAACGATGCTCTTGCCGGGGCCAGCCCTGCTTAGCATGCATAGGTTGCTCTGTTGCTTTCCTTTTTATTGCACTGGAGACAGTAGGGGATAGTGGTTAAAAGCCCCCACTCTGGAGTTCATGTCAAACACCAACTACACCTCTCACCATTGATATCATCCTGAATAGGCTATTTCATCTCTACGGGCCTTAGCTCTCTCCCCTGTAAAACGGGATCAATGTGTATGTACCCGGTTATTGCTGGAATGAGACAGAAAGTATTAAATAAGCATGGGAGAGTAACTCAATCAATGTTAGCTATTTTTATAATCACTGAGTATTTATTCCATGGATTGTCTCATTCATCGTCCGGTACATATTTACCGAAAACCTGTGAGGCACCAGGCGCTGTGCTGAGCATGGGAAACAAATGAGACACAGTGCCTCCTACAACGGGGCGTTGACGGTCAGGCAATACATACATCAATCCACCAGTAAATACACAAATAATATCTCCGATACATGCTGAGACAATAAAAAAGTGGTTCTTTCCTTGAGAGCTTTGTAAGAGGACTCTAACTTGGATGCGGGGTTCCAAAAAAAGTTCTTTAAGAAGTAAGTTTAAGGTGAAGACTAAAAATTGAACAGACATTATCGAAGGGAAGAGCTGGGGAGAGCTTACATTTGGCATTTTTTTCTGACTACACCTATAACTATTGAATTTCCATTTAGGTGGTACGGAAAACACAGAATAAAAAGAAGAAAATTAATGCCACCCATAATCCTACTACCAGGAGGGAAACTGGTGTTCATTCTACCCAATATTTCTTTCTGGGATGATACAGATTAGACGATATTATGTGCACACACATACATGCTGATGACTATACATGAGTATGTGTGTATTAAATACATCATTTTTACATTAATGCTTTTTATTCTTTTTTTTTTTTTTTAAAGAAATAGAGACAGGGTCTCACTGTGTTGTCCAAGCTGGTTTCAAACTCCAAGGCTAAAGTGATTTCCCACCTCAGCCTCCCAGACTGCCAGGATTACAGGCATGACCCAACTCACCCAGCCTGATCTTCGTATTATATCTTGAACAATTCCCCATGCCCTTAAGGATTCTCTAGTAATATAGAGAATATATTTGCAATTGGATCTTAGCATATCTTCTTGAGTTTTTTTTCCCCATGAGATAAATTCTCCAGCTGGAGTTGGGAAATGAAAGGCTAGGAATTTTTACTATTATTTTTTGAGACAGGGTCTCGCTCTGTCACCCAGGCTGGAGTGCAGTGGCATGATCATGGCTCCTTGCAGCCTCAACCTCCCCAGCTCAAGCGATCCTCCCACCACCTCAACCTCACAAGTAGCTGGGACTACAGACATGTGCCACCATACCCACTTAATTTTTGTATTTTTGTAGAGATGAGGTTTTGCCCAGGCTGGTCTCGAACTCCTGAGCTCAAGTGATCCACCCGCCTTGGCCTCCCAAAGTGTTGGGATGACAGGCGTGGGCCATCACACCTAGCCAGGATAGGAATATTTTTAAATCTCTGATAAACACAGCCAAACTGCCTTTTAAAATTTTTGTACCATTTTCCAGTTTCCGCTTATCTGAAATTTAGGAGTACCCTTCTCACCCTTCTCCAAAACATGCCTTAAACTTGTCACAAAAACGGCACCTAGTTGGCCCACATTATGTATTGTCGGTGTTCTAAAAATGCCACAGGCCTGAAACTTACTTTTCATTTTGCCTATGGTGTTGTAGACACATAGGAACTTAATTTTTGTTTGTAAGTATTAAGAACTACCAAGATGTTTAAAAGGTGTTATTTTATACACACACAAATACATACACACACATATTGGATTTTTTAACTTATTCCATGGAGATCCTTATTCTTGAGTTTATACTGCAGTATTTTTTTTTAAGTGTATGGGTTTTTTTTTTTCTTTTTTTTAATTTTTTTTGAGATGGAATCTTGCTCTGTCACCCAGGCTGGAGTGCGGTGGTGCAACCTCGGCTCACAGCAACCTCCACCTCCCAGGTTAAAGCAATTCTCCTGCCTCAGTCTCTGGAGTAGCTGAGATCACAGGCGTGCACCACCATGCCCAGCATTTTTTTTTTTTTTTTTTTTGTATTTTTGGTAGAGAAAGGGTTTTGCCATGTTGGCCAGGTTGGTCTCAAACTCCTGATCTCAGGTGATCAACCCACCTCGGCCTCCCAGAATGCTGGAATGACAGGAGTGAGCCACCACACCCAGCCTTTAGTGTGTTTTAATATCTTACAGTGCAGGTATACAACGCTCTTCTTCTTTTAAATATTTGCCTGGTTATACTTATTCATTTATATTTCTAGATAAACTTTAGAATCATTTTGTTAAGTTAACCTTAAAGAAAACACTTCTATTTTGATTAAAAAGGTAACATTATAGATTAATTCCAGAAAATGATACTGTATGATATTGAGCCTTCCATAATTTGTGTTATTTTTGCCCATTACGTTTTACAGATTTTAGCATTATTGGTCAGTTCCTTCAGTTTTGGGCATTTTATTACATTATTTGTGGATCATTTATATTTTTACTATCTGTGAGTGCGATCTTTTTTCCACATTATTTGCAAAATAATTTTTGCTGTTAATGGGAAAATGATTATTGTGGCTCTGCTGATGTTTGATTTTTTTAAATTCTCTATAAAGAGAATCATATCACTGCTAAGTAACGATTTCCTCCTGCGTAAATAGGAAAGCAGACATGCACATATATGCATTTCCGGGGAAATTTAAATCATACTAAAAGTGTGCCACACGAGTAGGCAGGCGGAGGGAACGTGGCTATCAGCTTCTCCTTTGGCACCAGCCTACCCAGGTTTGTTTGAATATTCTAAATTGTGTGTGTATTGCTTTAATACTTTTTAATATTGAGGAGGTTGATTGACTATTTCATAGTGTTCTTCTTTACACTAAAAACCTCCTTACATTAAACACATTATTAACCACTTAACATGATACTCCATTTGAATTACAGTTTCTTTCATCCCTTCCAGGAGCTGGTCATCATTCTTTTCTTACATCACTGCATTGGCTATAATGAAGTGCCTTGGTTGTTTTTAACCTCGGCACCAATGCTATGGGATGCCGGCTCACGGAAGCCCTCCCAGCGTGCACTGGGCCTGGCTATGGCTAAAAGCAGCGTTTCCCAAGCAAAAGCTGCATCTTCTCACCTGGGTGGGAATGACAAGGTCAGACAGATTCCGCTGGATCCCCTAAAGTCAGTCATCTACAGACATTGATAAATATTTAAAAAATTTAATGTTGACCAAACTTACAATGGACTCTGACAAAACAGTATTTCGTGGTGCCAAGGCTGCTGGCCCCACCTACAAACATCCTGCTAAATCCTGGGGCCAACGATAGGCCTCATGCATTCTGTTGTCACTTATATTTTGCTGTAACATATAATGCCAGCTGCTGGACGGAGACAGACACCGTGTGTAATGTGGGGAAAGTGTCAGTCTACTCCTATCTTACAGTTTTTCTCTCTTTACATCAAAAATGTATGTTGGGTTTTATCGAAATTGTAGTTGACATACATCTAGAGGTCTCCTTTACTAACACGTTTCTTAATATGACATCATTCTTACATGTTTGTCAAAACCATTTGGTGTCATTAATGTGTTATATTATCCCACCTGACTTATTATTTTATTGGAGGCTTTATGGATGAGTTTAATTATTTTTATGAATGAGACTTTTCTTTATGATTTTTCTTACTATCATTTTTAGATTTCAGTGCCTGGATTACGTTGGCTTCCTAAAATTCATTAAAATATTTTTTCCTTTTTTCCCATGTTCCATTTCTATTACTTTCTAATTACATCAAATGGAAATAAATATCCCTTTAAAAATTAAAGAGGGCCAGGTGCGGTGGCTCACACCTTTAATCCCAGCACTTTGGGAGGCTGAGGAGGGTGGGTTGCTTGAGCCCAGGAGTTTGAGACCAGCCTGGGCAACATACTGAGACCCTGTCTCTAAATAAATAAATAAATAAAAATTAATGAATACTAAAATTAAAGGAAAACATCATATAAAACTCTTTGGGCTAAATCTTTTTTGGGGGGATGATGAATGTAACAATATTTTTATTCAGTTTGAATCTTTCCCACCTACTCATTTGTTCCAATTTTTGTTTTTATTTTTTAAAAAAGTTAACCTACGGATACCATTTACTGCTTCTGTTGTTTTCATTTCTAGAAATACTTTTCTAATCTAATCCTGCTCTTTTTTCTTAATTTATGTGTGTTTAAACATTTAGGTTCAGGGGTACATGTGAAGGTTTGTTACATAGGCAAACTCCTGTCACACAGGTTTGTTGCACGGATTAATTAATCCATGGAATACTAGGCAGCCACAAAAAAAAGAAAGAGTTCATGTCCTTTGCAGGGACATGGATGAAGTTGGAAACCATCATTCTCAGCAAACTAACACAGGAACAGAAAACCAAACATCGTGCGTTCTCACTCATAAGGGGGAGTTCAACAATGAGAACACATGGACACAGGGAGGGGAACATCACACACCAGGGCCTGTTGGAGGGTGGGGAGTAAGGGGAGGGGTAGCATTAGGAGAAATACCTGATGTAGATGACGAGTTGATGGGTGCAGCAAACCACCATGGCACGTGTATACCTATGTAACCAACCTGCACGTTCCGCACATGTACCCCAGAACTTAAAGTCTAAGATAATAAATAAATAAGTAGATCCAGCTCTTTTAATCTTGCCTTCATCTTATTCCACTACCTCGTCTCAATGACCATCTCTTGCTTTAGAAGGCCTCTCTCAAATATTAGCTAGGCATCTTTTAACACCGGCTTGTTTTCTACAGGGACACTTTCTTTCCAAACTGTACCTCTTCTCAACGCTATGCTCTTCATCTTTCATGTGACCAACTCACTTCATATTTCAAAGTTCTGTTTGTTTCTCTTTCTTCAAAGGTGAGTAGAATTTCCCCACAGCCCAGGCATCGCGGGAGGGTGGCAATGGCTTCTGAGGACACTGTCTTGCTGTCCCCTCTTTACTTTCAGGGTCTTTCACTTGCCTGTCTCCCGGGAGGGCTACCCACAGCTGAATGTTTTCAGTTACCTGTTTCCTGTGAATTCACTGCCCTTTGGAATAATTTCCCTCGTTCCACTGTATAGCAGTTTTTCCTTGAAGCATGGAGTTTTAGTTGCAAACGATACAACATATGCCATGTAACGTTCATATTCCCTGCACAGGAACACCCAGAGCATGCAGTTTGCAGGGACCTGCCGGGCTCAGCCTTCCCACAGAGGTCACTGTGCGCATCCACCTGCAGGATGCTTCACTGCACAGCTGATCAGACCCAGAGTGGTGCTCGTGGAGGGGCTCTGGGTTGGGAGGCAGGTAAGGTTCTGAAAGTCCCGGCTGTGACTTACATGAGAGACCCTGTGTGTGTCGTTACACATGGTTCTGAGTTATGGAAATCCACAGTCTTCCTGTGTGTTGTTCCCCAACCCAGGTGGAAGCCATTGTGCCTGGGGGCTTCATCACAGCTTTGCCAACAGACATGTCCCTGGATAACCTGGAAGAGGGCAGGCATTCTGAATTCTGGGCTGCACACCTAGATGGCTAAGAATATCCAGTGAACACTTAGTGTGTAAATGAAGCTGGAGACAGGAGATTTCGGAGATACTAGTTGATCAATGCATCCTTGGTATAGTTGTTCCCTCTAAATCTCATGTTGAATTGTAATCCCAGTGTTGGAGGTGGGAACTGGCGGAAGGGGACTGGATCATGGGGATGGATTTCTTATGAATGGTTAGTACCATCCTCTTGGTGCCATCCTCAAAATAGTGAATGATTTCTTGAGAGATCTGGTTGTTTAAGACTGTGTGGCACCCTCCTCCTCTCTCTCTCGATTGCACTCTTGCCATGTGATGTACTGGCTTCCCATTCCCCTCCTGCCATGACTGTAGCTCCCTAGACTCCACCGGAAGCTGAGCAGATGCCAGCACCATGCTTCCTGTACAGCCTACAGAACCGTGAGCCAATTAAACCTCTTTTCTTTATAAATTATCGTCTAGGTACTTCTCTATAGCAATGCAAAAATGGCCTAACACAATCCTTTAAAGAAAAACGGAGTCAGATTTTTTTAAAGGTCTTTCTCAATAGTTTAGCAAAAGATGTGGAAAGGGTTAAATGGATGTGTGTTTATAAACATTCTGGAAGAGCCAAGTAGGTTAACTGCTTTTCAATTCTGTAAAATAATTAGAAGCGCTAAGCTAATGTAGTAGAAACATATTATACATTTCTTTAATTTTTATAAACTTAACTATATGAAATCAGCTAAATTAAAGCAAAAAAAATTAAGTTAAATGGTGCAGGATTGTTGTCCTCTACCATACACTAATCTAATGGGTACATGCACTGTGCCCATTAGGAGATGAAAGATAAGGACCCACAGTGAGCTCCGTGGGTCTTCCTGCCCATGTTCCCCTACCTGGGCGAGCATCCTTGGGAGGGAATGAATGTGCAGAAGAGAGAAGGGGTGGAGGGAGATAAGACTGAGAAGGAAGTCAGGGTTCTGGCTTAGAGAAGGGGTGGAGGGAGATAAGACTGAGAAGGAAGTCAGGGTTCTGGCTTTCCAAAGAGGGCTCGCCCCAGAATTCCTAGTTTCTGGCTTGAGCAGAAGTTGCAAGCTGACATCTGAAGGCCAAATCCAATCTACCAACTGTTTTTGCTTGGTATGCACAAGATTTCAAACATTTTTGCAATTACTCACAAACTCTTAACGACTGGAAGAGTTCACATAAAAATATGGATGTCGGCCGGACGCAGTGGCTCACGCCTGTAATCCCAGCACTCTGGGAGGCCAAGGCGGGCGGATCACAAGGTCCGGAGATGGAGACCAATCCTGTCCAACACAGTGAAACCCCGTCTCTACTAAATATACAAAAATTAGCTGGGTGTGGTGGCAGGCGCCTGTAATCCCAACTACTCAGGAGGCTGAGGCAGGAGAATCACTTGAACCTGGAGGGTGGAGGTTGCAGTGAGCTGAGATCGCGCCACTGCACTCCAGCCTGGGCACACTCCACCCTGGGCAACAAGAGCGAGACTCCGTCTCAAAAACAAACAAACAAACAAAAAATATATATATACACACACATATTATATATGTATATATATGTGTATATATGTGTGTGTGTGTATATATGTGTATATATATGTGTATATATACATATTATATATGTATATATATGTGTATATATGTGTATATATGTATATATATACATATATATATAGATGGATGGATGTCAAACTTCTTTTGGATGGAGAAAGTTCTGGGCTCAGATTCCGAGGTCAGCCATCACCTGGAGCTGCAGGTTTTCCTCGTCTCCACCGAGCATGTGACCCATAGTGAGGCACAGATGGTGTTTTGTGTCAGCTGCCCTGGGTCACCCAGTTGGCCCGTCGGTCTCTCACACTTGCGCACTTCACTTATTCTCATGATCTGCCTGGTCCTCGTTAGTACCTGTGTTTTCCATCCCTGCTGTAAAGGAATCTACAGGCTTTGGTACTGGGGAGTAGCAGGAAAACTGCCAGGACCCCATGGAAGGGCGGAGGGAGACTCCTCCCCCACAGACAGAGGTTGAGCACAGAAGGGACTGGGGCTTGTCCTCTGAAGATCTCGCGTGTTAGACAGCTCTGCAGCCTGGGGGCACAGGCTGCCCTCTTCTCAGGAGGCTCTCCCTAGGAGTCTGTCATCTTTCTGCCAAAACTCATCCCATCCTGAGATGGTGGCACAGAAATACTTGGGTCACAGGACATGCTGCCTCAGGCACGTGCGTACAGTCATTTTATGAGCTTTAGAGCTGAAAATGTCCTTGATCATCGAATCCTAAAAAAAGTCTTCTAGATGACCTAGGGTCCAACCCCAGCACATCTCCCCTGCCATGACTGAATTTCTCCTAACAAGAGAGTCTCTTATCATCTAATTTAATCTGTAGCTGTATTGGAATTGCCCCAGAAAGGACGTGGATTTAAGTAGGGCACAAATCTTGCTATAATCTTTCTGAGTTTTTAAAGGGGAAGAGGAAATGCATAGAGAACAGGGTATATTCAGAACCAAAACTTTAAGTCCCAAGCTCCTAGCTTAAGGAGGTGCGGGCAGAGAGTGTCAAAAGGATGAAGAAAATCAAGGGTTAAAGCAGCAAAGGAAAAAAAAAAAAGGGCGGGGGAGCCATATATTGAGCCTATGATACGCCAGGCCCTGGGCTAGATTCAGGTGCTCTGGAGATGAGAGTCCTAGCCCCTCTCCATGGAGCTATGCAGTTATAAATCCAGATATTGAATATGTAATTGTGTCTCTATTAGTGTTACAAAAGGGGAGCAGTGGAGGCCATAGAATCCTATAATAGGTGGGTACCCCTTGTAGAGGCTGGAGGACTCAGTAAACAAAACATCCCTCCCTCCGAGCACCTTTGCTCCCAAACGTCACTGCAGGATCACTAGAACGTGATTTGCCTGTTTAAAGTAATTACCAGGGAGGAGGAGCCAAGATGGCCGAATAGGAACAGCTCCGGTCTACAGCTCCCAGCGAGAGCGACGCAGAAGACGGGTGATTTCTCCATTTCCATCTGAGGTACCGGGCTCATCTCACTAGGGAGTGCCAGACAGTGGGCACAGCTCAGTGGGTGCGCGCACCGTGCACCAGCCGAAGCAGGGCGAGGCATTGCCTCACTCGGGAAGCACAAGGGGTCAGGGAGTTCCCTTTCCTAGTTAAAGAAAGGGGTGACAGACGGCACCTGGAAAATCAGGTCACTCCCACCCGAATACTGCGCTTTTCTGACGGGCTTAAAAAATGGCGCACCAGGAGATTATATCCCGCACCTGGCTCGGAGGGTCCTGGCCCACAGAGTCTCCCTGATGGCTAGCACAGCAGTCTGAGATCAAACTGCAAGGCAGCAGCGAGGTTGGGGGAGGGGCGCCCGCCATTGCCCAGGCTTGCTCAGGTAAACAAAGCAGCCGGGAAGCTCCAACTGGGTGGAGCCCACCACAGCTCAAGGAGGCCTGCCTGCCTGCCTCTGTAGGCTCCACCTCTGGGGGCAGGGCACAGACAAATAAAAAGACAACAGTCTGACAGCTTTGAAGAGAGCAGTGGTTCTCCCAGCACGCAGCTGGAGATCTGAGATGGGCAGACTGCCTCAAGTGGGTCCCTGACCCCTGACCCCCGAGCAGCCTAACTGGGAGGCACCCCCCAGCAGGGGCACACTGACACCTCACACGGCAGGGTATTCCAACAGACCTGCAGCTGAGGGTCCTCTCAGTTAGAAGGAAAACTAACAAACAGAAAGGACATCCACACCAAAAACCCATCTGTACATCACCATCATCAAAGACCAAAAGTAGATAAAACCACAAAGATGGGGAAAAAACAGAACAGAAAAACTGGAAACTCTAAAAAGCAGAGCACCTCTCCTCCTCCAAAGGAACGCAGTTCCTCACCAGCAACGGAACAAAGCTGGTTGGAGAATGACTTTGACGAGCTGAGAGAAGAAGGCTTCAGACGATCAAATTACTCTGAGCTACGGGAGGACATTCAAACCAAAGGCAAAGAAGTTGAAAACTTTGAAAAAAATTTAGAAGAATGTATAACTAGAATAACCAATACAGAGAAGTGCTTAAAGGAGCTGATGGAGCTGAAAACCAAGGCTCGAGAACTACGTGAAGAATGAAGAAGCCTCAGGAGCCGATGCGATCAACTGGAAGAAAGGGTATCAGCGATGGAAGATGAAATGAATGAAATGAAGCGAGAAGGGAAGTTTAGAGAAAAAAGAATAACAAGAAATGAGCAAAGCCTCCAAGAAATATGGGACTATGTGAAAAGACCAAATCTACGTCTGATTGGTGTACCTGAAAGTGATGGGGAGAATGGAACCAAGTTGGAAAACACTCTGCAGGATATTATCCAGGAGAACTTCCCCAATTTAGCAAGGCAGGCCAACATTCAGACTCAGGAAATACAGAGAACGCCACAAAGATACTCCTCGAGAAGAGCAACTCCAAGACACATAATTGTCAGATTCACCAAAGTTGAAATGAAGGAAAAAATGTTAAGGGCAGCCAGAGACAAAGGTTGGGTTACCCTCAAAGGGAAGCCCATCAGACTAACAGCGGATCTCTCGGCAGAAACCCTACAAGCCAGAAGACAGTGGGGGCCAATATTCAACATTCTTAAAGAAAAGAATTTTCAACCCAGAATTTCATATCCAGCCAAACTAAGCTTCATAAGTGAAGGAGAAATAAAATACTTTACAGACAAGCAAATGCTGAGAAATTTTGTCACCACCAGGCCTGCCCTAAAAGAGCTCCTGAAGGAAGCGCTAAACATGGAAAGGAACAACCGGTACCAGCCGCTGCAAAATCATGCCAAAATGCAAAGACCATCGAGACTAGGAAGAAACTGCATCAACTAACGAGCAAAATAACCAGCTAACATCATAATGACAGGATCAAACTCACACATAACAATATTAACTTTAAATGTAAATGGACTAAATGCTCCAATTAAAAGACATAGACTGGCAAATTGGATAAAGAGTCAAGACCCATCAGTGTGCTGTATTCAGGAAACCCATCTCACGTGCAGAGACACACATAGGCTCAAAATAAAAGGATGGAGGAAGATCGACCAAGCAAATGGAAAACAAAAAAAGGCAAGGGTTGCAATCCTAGTCTCTGATAAAACAGACTTTAAACCAACAAAGATCAAAAGAGACAAAGAAGGCCATTACATAATGGTAAAGGGATCAATTCAACAAGAAGAGCTAACTATCCTAAATATATATGCACCCAATACAGGAGCACCCAGATTCATAGAGCAAGTCCTGAGTGACCTACAAAGAGACTTAGACTCCCACACATTAATAATGGGAGACTTTAACACCCCACTGTCAACATTAGACAGATCAACGAGACAGAAAGTCAACAAGGATACCCAGGAATTCAACTCAGCTCTGCACCAAGCGGGCCTAATAGACATCTACAGAACTCTCCACCCCAAATCAACAGAATATACATTTTTTTCAGCACCACACCACACCTATTCCGAAATTGACCACATACTTGGAAGTAAAGCTCTCCTCAGCAAATGTAAAAGAACAGAAATTATAACAAACTATCTCTCAGACCACAGTGCAATCAAACTAGATCTCAGGATTAAGAAACTCACTCAAAACTGCACAACTACATGGAAACTGAACAACCTGCTCCTGAATGACTACTGGGTACATAACGAAATAAAGGCAGAAATAAAGATGTTCTTTGAAACCAACGAGAAGAAAGACACAACATACCAGAATCTCTGGGACACATTCAAAGCAGTGTGTAGAGGGAAATTTATAGCACTAAATGCCCACAAGAGAAAGCAGGAAAGATCCAAAATTGACACCCTAACATCACAATTAAAAGAACTAGAAAAGCAAGAGCAAACACATTCAAAAGCTAGCAGAAGGCAAGAAATAACTAAAATCAGAGCAGAACTGAAGGAAAGAGAGACACAAAAAACCCTTCAAAAAATTAATGAATCAAGGAGCTGGTTTTTTGAAAGGATCAACAAAATAGATAGACCGCTAGCAAGACTAATAAAGAAAAAAAGAGAGAAGAATCAAATAGATGCAATAAAAAATGATAAAGGGGATATCACCACTGATCCCACAGAAATACAAACTACCATCAGAGAATACTACAAACACCTCTACGCAAATAAACTAGAAAATCTAGAAGAAATGGATAAATTCCTTGACACATACACTCTCCCAAGACTAAACCAGGAAGAAGTTGAATCTCTGAATAGACCAATAACAGGATCTGAAATTGTGGCAATAATCAATAGCTTACCAACCAAAAAGAGTCCAGGACCAGATGGATTCACAGCCGAATTCTACCAGAGGTACAAGGAGGAACTGGTACCATTCCTTCTGAAACTATTCCAATCAATAGAAAAAGAAGGAATCCTCCCTAACTCATTTTATGAGGCCAGCATCATTCTGATACCAAAGCCAGGCAGAGACACAACAAAAAAAGAGAATTTTAGACCAATATCCTTGATGAACATTGATGCAAAAATCCTCCATAAAATACTGGCAAAACGAATCCAGCAGCACATCAAAAAGCTTATCCACCATGATCAAGTGGGCTTCATCCCTGGGATGCAAGGCTGGTTCAATATACGCAAATCAATAAATGTAATCCAGCATATAAACAGAGCCAAAGACAAAAACCACATGATTATCTCAATAGATGCAGAAAAGGCGTTTGACAAAATTCAACAACCCTTCATGCTAAAAACTCTCAATAAATTAGGTATTGATGGGATGTATTTCAACATAATAAGAGCTATCTATGACAAACCCACAGCCAATATCATACTGAATGGGCAAAAACTGGAAGCATTCCCTTTGAAAACTGGCACAAGACAGGGATGCCCTCTCTCACCACTCCTATTCAACATAGTGTTGGAAGTTCTGGCCAGGGCAATTAGGCAGGAGAAGGAAATAAAGGGTATTCAATTAGGAAAAGAGGAAGTCAAGTTGTCCCTGTTTGCAGACAACATGATTGTATATCTAGAAAACCCCATTGTCTCAGCCCAAAATCTCCTTAAGCTGATAAGCAACTTCAGCAAAGTCTCAGGATACAAAATCAATGTACAAAAATCACAAGCATTCTTATACACCAACAACAGACAAACAGAGAGCCAAATCATGAGTGAACTCCCATTCACAATTGCTTCAAAGAGAATAAAATACCTAGGAATCCAACTTACAAGGGATGTGAAGAACCTATTCAAGAAGAACTACAAACCACTGCTCAAGGAAATAAAAGAGGATACAAACAAATGGAAGAACATTCCATGCTCATGGGTAGGAAGAATCAATATCGTGAAAATGGCCATACTGCCCGAGGTCATTTACAGATTCAATGTCATCCCCATCAAGCTACCAATGCCTTTCTTCACAGAATTGGAAAAAACTACTTTAAAGTTCATATGGAACCAAAAAAGAGCCCGCATCACCAAGTCAATCCTAAGCCAAAAGAACAAAGCTGGAGCCATCATGCTACCTGACTTCAAACTATACTACAAGGCTACAGTAACCAAAACAGCATGGTACTGGTACCAAAACAGAGATATAGACCAATGGAACAGAACAGAGCCCTCAGAAATAACGCCGCATATCTACAACCATCTGATCTTTGACAAACCTGAGAAAAACAAGCAATGGGGAAAGGATTCCCTATTTAATAAATGGTGCTGGGAAAACCTGCTAGCCATATGTAGAAAGCTGAAACTGGATCCCTTCCTTACATCTTATACAAAACTCAATTCAAGATGGATTAAAGACTTACATGTTAGACCTAAAACCATAAAAACCCTAGAAGAAAACCTAGGCAATACCATTCAGGACATAGGCATGGGCAAGGACTTCATGTCTAAAACACCAAAAGCAATGGCAACAAAAGACAGAATTGACAAATGGGATCTAATTAAACTAAAGAGCTTCTGCACAGCAAAAGAAACTACCATCAGAGTGAACAGGCAACCTACAGAATGGGAGAAAATTTTCGCAACCTACTCATCTGACAAAGGGCTAATATCCAGAATCTACAATGAACTCAAACAAATTTACAAGAAAAAAACAAACAACCCCATCAAAAAGTGGGCGAAGGATATGAACAGACACTTCTCAAAAGAAGACATTTATGCAGCCAAAAAACACATGAAAAAATGCTCATCATCATTGGCCATCAGAGAAATGCAAATCAAAACCACAATGAGATACCATCTCACACCAGTTAGAATGGCAATCATTAAAAAGTCAGGAAACAACAGGTGCTAGAGAGGATGTGGAGAAATAGGAACACTTTTACACTGTTGGTGGGACTGTAAACTAGTTCAACCATTGTGGAAGTCAGTGTGGCGATTCCTCAGGGATCTAGAACTAGAAATACCATTTGACCCAGCCATCCCATTACTGGGTATATACCCAAAGGACTATAAATCATGCTGCTATAAAGACACATGCACATGTATATTTATTGTGGCACTATTCACAATAGCAAAGACTTGGAACCAAGCCAAATGTCCAACAATGATAGACTGGATTAAGAAAATGTGGCACATATACACCATGGAATACTATGCAGCCATAAAAAATGATGAGTTCATGTCCTTTGTAGGGACATGGATGAAATTGGAAATCATCATTCTCAGTAAACTATCGCAAGAACAAAAAACCAAACACCGCATATTCTCACTCATAGGTGGGAATTGAACAATGAGATCACATGGACACAGGAAGAGGAACATCACACTCTGGGGACTGTTGTGGGGTGGGGGGAGGGGGGAGGGATAGCATTGGGAGATACACCTAATGCTAGATGATGAGTTAGTGGGTGCAGCACACCAGCATGGCACATGTATACATATGTAACTAACCTGCACAATGTGCACATGTACCCTAAAACTTAAAGCATAATAATAAAAGAAAAAAATAAAAATAAAAAATAAAAAAATAAAGTAATTACCAGGCCAGGCACGGTGGTTCAGGCCTGAGATCCCAGCACTTTGGGAGGCCAAGGTGGGTGCATTGCTTGAGCCCAGGCGTTTGAGACCAGCCTGGGCAATATAGTGAGACCCCAACTCTACAAAAATAAACAAATAAATAAAACTAGCCAGGCCTGGTGGCACACACCTGTAGTCCCAGCTACTTGGGAGGCTGAAGCAGGAGGATCATTCAAGCCTGGGAGGTGGGGGTTGCAGTGAGCCAAGACTGCACCACTGCACTTCAGCCTGGGCAACAGAGCAAGACCCTATCTAAATAAATGAATGAATGAATAAATAAATGAATAAAGTAATTGCCAAATGAAAAAGAAAATGAGAGGATTTTACATGAACATGAAGATTTTCTGAATTCCCTTGAGCACACAGGATGGGACAACGTGACCACAGTGGATGTCCATTCAGTCACGACCGTAATTAGCAAGGACCCTGGAGCAGCTACCCCTGTAGCCAGGACAAGCCTGTCCCCAGGGAGCGGAGTCCACCCGCATTCTCCCCAGTGCCTTGCTTCTGACCTCCAGCTGCGCCTGCGTTCTGTTACCGGCCTGGCCATGACAGGTTTGAGTTTGTGACACTGGCCATCAATGTCTCCCCCAGGTGGCAGCCACCAAAGAGGCCACAATGCTCTTCAGTCTCCACTAAAGTTCACAGGTGGGCAGACATCGCCATCCCAATCCCCACCACGGCCCGAGTCTCCAGACTCCTTTACTAAAATAGAAATAGGATGTTCCTTATCCACTGGCCACATGCTGTAGTTCTCCTCTCTCTAAGATGCTCATGTATAAACTGCTTATATTTGGCACTTGCTGATGCTTGATTTAATATGTGTATTTTTGCAAAGTTAAGAGACGATGCGTTGATTGTTAACATCTGTCTTCCGACTCTCCTTGTCTTCTACCTGAAAGCAATTCAGGTGTGAAAGGCGGGCAGGCTGGAGCAATTCTGATTAGGTTCGGCCAATCTAGATGGAAATAGCCCCATTTGGTTGAAGTCCAACTGCAGCTGATAAACAACCTAATAGCCATTCACGTCCAGCCACCCTCCATGATTCCATTTCTACTCCTCTTAAAGCAATTTGTGCTATCTGAGATGGCGCCCTGGCTTAGTATTCAGCATCATAGGAGGACGTTTACTTAAGGGTGCTGGTGAAAACTGAACAATGAGTTCCAAAGCAGCAGCAAGTCTTGGGAATTTGCATGAGAAAACCACAAGAAATGTAATTATTTTTGCTAGCAAAACTCAGAGTAGGGTTGTCTTCTTATTTAATACCATGTCATTACAAATTATAGAACTCAATTTAGGAAACGGTGATTTAGATTCTAAGCTGAAAGGAGCTAGTTGCACACCGAACATTATTGTTCATGATAAAAGAAATTTAAATTACACAAATATCATGGAGCACAGCTTAATCACACACGTCAACACCATTCTCTCTCATCGTCTCTAACGAATGAGCCCTATCCTTTATTCAAGTCATGAGAAGAGCAGAAGTCAATATTATTAGATCGAGAATCTAGATGCAGAATAAAATTGGGGACTCCACATTGTCATAACTCACATATTAAAAGAAAAACACTCTCGGGTTGGTTCAGAAAACAAACTCTTTGTGAAACTGGGACAGAATAAAAATAAAGACGGGTACAGGGATATTCAGGAAGCAGGGGTTGCTACAGTAATATCAGAAAAACTTAAATTCAAGATCAAAATAAACGAAGACCAAGGAAGTCACGTTATGAATGTGAAGGATAAAGTGTACAAGGAAGATACAGTGAATATCACCTTGTCAGGATTTCCTTGAAGAGCATTGAAACGTATAAAGCAACAGCTGATAAGAATAGGAAAAGGAGAAATTGGCCAGAACACAAGAGAAGTTCTGAGTATTTTCAAACCTGAAACCAAGAAACCAAGAAAAAGTCCAGATATTTAACAAACTCCTTTCAGCTCTGATAGGTCATAGGAAGGAAGAACAGAATGAACAAAGGCGGGAAGGAAGGAAGCCATAGAGAACATGAATAAAATAAGCAATAAAGTTGAGTGAATACTTTTTTTTTTTACAAAGAACACAAAGATATTAGAGAATATGTTTTTCAGTGTCCAAAAACATTTAGAAAAATTGACCACAAGAAACATCAATAAATCTCTGAAGTAAAACTAGGATAGAATAAACTTTTGGACTGCAATGTGGTAATGTTATTTTAAAAGAATAAGGAAATAATAGCAATAAGCCAACCACTTAAAGTTTATGAATGTGGCCGGGCGCAGTGGCTCACGCCTGTAATCCCAGCACTCTGGGAGGGCAAGGCGGGTGGATCACCTGAGGTCAGGTGTTCGAGACCAGCCTGGCCAACGTGGTGAAACCTCGTCTCTACTAAAAACACAAAAATTAGCCAGGCATGGTGGCGGGCACCTGTAGTCCCAGATATTCGGGAGGCTGAGGCAGGAGAATCGCTTGAACCCAGGAGGCAGAGGTTGCAGTGAGCTGAGATCATGCCACTGCACTCCAGCCTGGGCGACAGAGCGAGACTCCATATCAAAAAAAAAAAAAAAAATTTTTTTTTGAACGCTCTGAGCAAACCTTGGGTCCAGGTGGAAACCAAAACTGGAATGCAGGTTGGGGATAAATCACTCCAAGGGGAAGGAACACGGGAGCCGGGATGGACACCCTGGGGTGCCAGCTGGGAGAGTCAGTGCGTGAGGGGTTTCTGAGACGACTGTCTGGGCTGGAAGGTAACCTCCTGCCGCTTCCTGCATGAAGAAATGGGGCAGCTTTGCGCTAAGATTTAGCTTCTAAGTGAACACATCCTCAACATTATCAAGTCCTTTGTTTTTGTGAATTTTCTGACCTTACTCTAGCTCATTTGTAAAGTGAATTTGAAATTCTAGGAAAATGGAAGCTGATGTACATGTTTGTTTTTTTAAAACAGAGAGTTCTTTAAAAAGTCTAATAATAAAAAATAATAAGCCTCCAGTTAGCCTAATCTAGGAAATATGAGCAGAAAATATACATGATGAAAAGTAGCAATGAGAGAGGGTAAATAAACACAGATGCTCAGAAAATTTCAGGACTTATCATAAAAAACCCTGTGTTAATAAATTTGAAAATCTGGAGAAAAGAAATATTTCTAGGAAACTGTAGAACACAAAAATGCACTCTGGAAAAGACATGACTAAAATGGAAAGTAAATGTCTAACAAATTGTAACAAGCTATCAAGGAGTCCTCGCTATGGAAAAGCACGTATAATTAGGAGGAGGAGGAGAAAGGGAAATCTCTAGCCAGCCAAAGGGAGAAGCAATTTTCCCAGCGTAATCTACCAAAAACCCACAGCAACACACAAACATTAAGTTGGCGGTGCCGTATCACTAGCATTTTTATTAAGAACAAAAGCAGAATATCTCTAACGCCAGCACTCAGCATTGGAAGTTATAGCGAAGACAAGAAACCCATAAAAAATAAATGAGCAACGTATGAATTTGGAAGATTAAAAAAATCATTATTTTCAGATGAAATGATTGTCCATATATTTTTTTTAAAATGCAAGATACTCCACTGACAAGTCTGAAATAGTTTTTCCTTATTTTAAAAAAATCTAAAGAAA